>NC_000009.12:38646363-38797878 GCF_000001405.40 Homo sapiens
ACCAAAAAAGACAAAACAGTCTCTATTAAAAATACAAAAAGAAAAAAAAAATTAGCCGAGTGTGGTGGCGGGCTCCTGTGGTCCCAGCTACTTGGGAGGCTGAGGCAGGAGAATGGCATGAACCCGGGAGGCGGAGCTTGCAGTGAGCTGAGATCGCGCCACTGCACTCCAGCCTGGGCGACAGAGTGAGACTCCACCTCAAAAAAAAAAAAAAAAAAAAAAAAAAAAAAAAAAAGAAAGAAAGAAAAAGAAAAAGAAAAAACAACACTAAAAATCCCTCTTTTTTTTTTTTGAGACGGAGTCTCACTCTGTCGCCCAGGCTGGAGTGCAGTGGCGCGATCTCGGATCACTGTAAGCTCCGCCTCCCGGGTTCACGCCATTCTCCTGCCTCAGCCTCCCAAGTAGCTGGGACTACAGGCGCCCGCCACCAACGCCCGGCTAATTTTTTGTATTTTTAGTAGAGACGGGGTTTCACCGTGTTAGCCAGGATGGTCTCGTTCTCCTGACCTCGTGATCCGCCCTCCTCAGCCTCCCAAAGTGCTAGGATTACAGGCAGGAGCCACCGCGCCCGGCTCTCCTTTCTAGCTGAACAAAAGAATGTGCTTTCGGTTAATACCTGCTGCTTGAAAATGAGTAGTGAATGTGCAACCAAGCTTGTCTTGTGTATCTGGTAGCTTTGTTTTTCCTTACCAGTTTTCTGCCTAATGTTTGCTTCTGTGATGGTTCTATTGCCTAGCAAGCATACCTGTTTTTGGGAAAATAGAATAGCAAAAAAAAAAAAAAAAAAGAAAAGAAAAGAAAAGAAAAAATGCCTGGTTATTGATTTACTAGGTGTGTGTATGTCTTTTAAACAGTTATTGTTTTACCTTACATGGAATAATCAAGAAAAGTGTAAAAATTCAAAAGTGAAATAAAAATTTTAGCAGTTAAGAGAGACTTTTAATTTTCCTTTTTAGGTGGCACTTAGAACGCTTCAATTATATATTCTATTATTACATGTGGATGTTAGCCAATTAACCTGTTGAGTAAAAGGCTTGACTTCCTTACATCCATTTAAAAAATTTAGTTTCCATTTTTGTGCGTACAGAGTAGGTGTATATATTTATGGGGTAATGAGATATTTTGACACAGGCATGCAATCAATGCATTGCAGCAAGGCAAATGGGGTATCCTCTTCACTTTTATTTATTATTTTTATTTTATTTTATTTTTTGAAATGGAGTCTTCCTCTGTTGCCCAGGCTAGAGTGCAGTAGTGGCACGATCTAGGCTCACTGCAGCCTCTGCCTCCTGGGTTCAAGCAATTCTCCTGCCTCTGCCTCCCAAGGATCTGGGATTACAAGCATGCACCACCACACCTGGCTAATTTTTGTATTTTTAGTAGAGATGGGGTTTCACCATGTTGGTGAACAGGCTGGTCTCGAACTCCTGACCTCAAGTGATCCTCCCACTTTGGCCTCCCAAAGTGCTGGGATTAGAGGCATGAGCCACCACGCCTGGCTTTCCCCTTTACTTTTAAATGAGAAATATTTTTCTACTTTTTCCATCATGGAGTTTATGATTTAAAACAGAAGATGGAAAGCCATCTTACTCTCCTGCACTTACTGTACTATTAGGTTCATTTAAAAGAAAACATATTTCTTGACGATATTGGCTGCCCAAGTTTTAAAATCTGTGTGGAAAGGTATCCCATTAAGAGGTTTTGGATTATGAATTTTAGGGAAGTTATTCACTGGACACAGCTAGGTGCCCTGTTGTGTATTGTTGCAAAGTATGAAGACTTTGTTTGGATCTTGCCCCATTATACATATTTTTCTCTCTTTGGAGTCTTTAAAATCTACCGGGTGAATATATGGTGAGGACAAGGCAAATGTGCCCTGCCTGTAACATGCCAATTTAACTGCTCATGGCATTTGTGAATGATGTGGAATGAAAAGTGAGGGGAGAGTGAAGTGTGGGGATGGAAATCTCGAGAGCTGGTCTTGACGAGGTGTGCCTTGCAACAGTCAGGCCAGGCATGGTGGCTCATGCCTGCAAGCCTAACACTTTGGGAGGCTGAGCGGGGAGGATCACTTGGGGCCAGGAGCTCAGACCAGCCTGGGCAACACAGCAAGTCTGTCTCTACAAAATAAGAATGAAAATAAAAATTACCAGGGTATGGTGGTGCCTGTGGTCCCAGCTACTTGGTTGGCTGAGGTGGGAGGATCCCTTGAGCCTAGAAGTTCAAGAGTACAGTGAGCCCTGATGGTGCCACTGCATTCTAGCCTCGGTGACAGAGCAAGACCTTGTCTCTAAAAAATAAAAAATAAAGAGCAAACCTATGTGAATGGTGGAGTTCATTGGCTTTGTTCAAAGACGGGGATCACTTACAAAAGGGGGACCCCTTGCTGCTAGATTAGCGTGGCTCCATTGTGACGTGTTTTCAGAACTCCTGCATGTTGCCATTATGGAGGGTTGCTGTGGCTATTAGTGTGAGAATTTGGTTATCATTTTTCTCCCCAACCAGACTAGAACCCTGTGAGTCCCAGGGCTGAGCCCATTTTGCTCATCGCGGTATTCCCACCACCCAGCCCAGTGTCCAGCACAGGGAAGGTGCTCAGTGCACTTAGAATCAAAGGCATATCCTTTGCTGTGGCTCACACAGCTGTGTGACTGGCCTCAGCCCCTTCAGCCTCCCCATAGTTCTTGGAAATGACTCCAGAGAAGTGTGGATGTCTGGACTGGGAAAGGGGAGATGGGAAACTTTCCTGTGTGGCAGAATAGCAAACGCCAGACCTACTCATTGTTTAGTCAGATATTGTTTAAGAGCTTTTGATATGCCTGGTACTGGGGAGACAGTGGTGACCTAAACAGACATGAGCCTTGCCACGTGTTTTTTGTTCTTCTGGAATTTACAGCCTAGTGAGGGAGATAGACTGTAGTAAAACAGCCACAGACATGAGTGTACAATTACAAACTGAGGGCAGCAGGTCAACCCTGTAAAGTCAAGGAACAGGCACCCATAAGGGTATTCATCAATGGAGCCCAGCGTAGACCTGAGGAGTCAGGGGAGGCTTCCCATAGGCAGTGACACTTCTGCTGAGTCAAAGGGATGTGAAGCAAAGGGGCCTGTGCAAAGGCCCTGTGTCCAGAGGAAGCTAAACTTCTTCAAGGACCTGCCAGAAGATGAGATGTCTGGAACCCTGAAAGTAGGGGAGCCTAGTGGCCAGGTGAGGTGCAGAGGTCAGCAGAGTCCAGGTCACAAAGGCCCTCAGGCGTCAAGGGTTTTAGTCTTTATTCTTAAAGAATGGGTGATCTTGAAGTAAAGAAGAGTGTGGTATAATAGGTGTATCAGTTATCTATTGCTGGGTAACAAATTACCCCAAAGGGTAGTGGTATAGAACAACTTATACTATTATCTCACAGTTCTTTGGGCTAGGAACTTGGTCATGGCTTAGCTGGGTCCTCTGTCTCTGGGTCTCCCGCGAGGTTACCATCCAGTGTCAGCGGGAGCTGCAGCTATCTCAAGGATTGCCTAGGGAGAGGATTCACATTCAAGGTCACCGAGTGGCTGTTGGCGGACCTCAGGCCTTTGCTCACTGCCGGCTGGAGGCATTTCTTCATTGTCTCATGGGCCTCTCCCTAAGGCTTCTCACAACATGGCAATTTGATTCCCCCAGAATGGGAAGGCAGGAGAGAGAGAAAACATTCTTTCTGTAACCTAATCTGAAATGTGACATTCTGTCACTTTTACAATATTCTATTCATAGAAACAAGTCACCTGATAACGGCCCACACTCAGGAGGAGATTGTACCAGGGAGTGAATGCCAGGGGGTGGGAACGTCTGGGTGCCAGTGGAGATGCTGCCTACTGCAGTGTGGAGAATGGATTGGAGGGGTCAGAATGAATGTAGAGAGAATTCAAAGGCTCCTGCAGGAGTCCAAGCAAGAGGATTGCAGATTGTAGCCTGGAAGAGGCCAGTAGCTGTGGTGACAATGGACACCAGGTGGATATGTTGGAGAGACACTTAGAAGGTAAAATTGACAGGTAGTAGCTTAGAGATGGGTTGAATACGAGAGAAAAGGAAGAGAATGTTACAGAGCATTCTTAGGTGTCTGTCTTCTACACTGCATAGACTGGTGCCATTTGTGGAGTCAAGGACTGTGAGACGAGGACCAGGTTAATGGGGAAAGATCAGGGGTTCTGTCTTGAAGGGACTGGCATTGAAACAATGCACAAGCAACCTAAGACTACGAGTCACTTTACTGGAAATCCTGTGCATGCAGGAAGATGTCTAAGTCTTGAGCTCGGAGGTGTAGGTTTGAGATTTAAGAGTGGGAACATCAGCAGGTTGCCTTGTGAAGAAAGTTCAGGGTGATGAGGCGTAGATTCAAGCCTGAGTCTTGGTGAGCTCTCCATGTCGTGTAGGGTAGAGAAGGAGCAGCCTAAAAGAAGGTAGATGATAGGCCGGGTGCGGTGGCTCACGCCTGTAATCCTAGCACTTTGGGAGACTAAGGTGGGCAGATCACCTGAGGTCAGGAGTTCAAGACCAGCCTGACCAACATGGAGAAATCTCGTCTCTACTAAAAATACAAAATTAGGCTGGGCATGGTGGCTCACACTTGTAATCCCAGCACTTTGGGAGGCTGAGGCGGATGGATCATGAGGTCAGGAGATCAAGACCACGGTGAAACCCCATCTCCACTAAAAATACAAAAAAATTAGCCGGGCGTGGTGGCGGGCGCCTGTAGTCCCAGCTACTCGGAGAGGCTGAGGCAGGAGAATGGCATGAACCCGGGAGGCGGAGCTTGCAGTGAGCCGAGATCGCGCCACTGCGCTCCAGCCTGGGCGACAGAGCGAGACTCCATCTCAAAAAAAAAAAAAAAAACATACAAAATTAGCTGACATGGTGGTGCATGCCTGTAATCCCAGCTACTCAGGAGGCTGAGGCAGGAGAATCGCTTGAACCCAGGAGGCAGAGGTTGCAGTGAGCCGAGATCATGCCATTGCACTCCAGCCTGGACAACAAGAGCAAAACTCTGTCTCAAAAAAAGACGGTAGATGAGGTGGGGCTATATCAGAGAGACAAAGTTCAGGGAGGGGCGATTTCAGAGGCACAGGGAGGAGAACATTCAGGAAAAGGGAGTGGCTGACAGCACTGGGGCTGCTGAGAGGCCAGGTCAGGTGGGGGCCACTGACGACCATCACTCATCAGCAGACACTTAAACAGAGCACCTGCTAAGCGTCAGGCCCTGTGAGCACAAAGATGAAATGTCTCTATCTGTTGTCACCTTCCTGCACATCTCAGAGTAGGCGTTGTGTGGGAACCGAACACAATGAAGTATACTTTTAAATCCCCCAGCCACAGTGTTAGTTGCCAAATCAATGTTAGCAGCTGCTTGACATCTCATTTTTTCCAAGGGCTTCAGTGGGTGACTGGATGGGGTGACTATTTTGCATGCAGGCCCCTAGCCTGGCTACATAAGGCTGGGAACTTTATAACAAAACAGACACCAGGGCCATGGTCCCAGGAGATTCTAAGTCAGTGGGTCAAAGGGAACGAAGCAACTGATTTTTAAATAATCACGGTTTTTTTCTGGTGCACAGGCAGGATGGAGAGCCCCTCAGAGGCCTGGACTGAATTCTAATTCCTCCAAAAGTTAGTGCTTTCCACCCCGTATGGGTCACTTGCTGAGCCTCCTTTTCCTGCCATGTGACATGAGGAGGATAGCAGCTGCTGCTAGGTTGCTGTATTGAATGGGATCCTGTTTGTGGAAGCACTGGAGTAATGCCTCAAAAGAGTCCCAAACTCCAGGGTGGCTGAGGATGGTGCCACTCAGGCACTAATGTGCACAAAGCACCTGCAGATCCTGTAAAATGTACATTCTGCTTCAGTCGCCCTGGGTGGGGCCTGTGAATCTGCCTTTAGAGCACACTCCCATATAAGTCAATGTTCTGTTGTGTGAACCGTGGGTCCTTTGAGTGGTAAAGGTTGAGGAAATTTGCATGTGGTGTCATGCATGACCTCCTAGTTGAGGTCTTCATGATGTTGGCATTTGAGAAGATCACAAGATTGCTTCATATTTGATAAATGGTATCTGCTGTAATACTAATAACCAAAAGAAAAGCCATTCTAACCCCCAAGCCAGCAATCATAGAAACAGTGAACCCTCCAGCTCTGAGCACTGTGATAATAAAAAGCAAGCAGCCCACTAGAACACCGGCTAGAGAAAAATAGAACAGTCAAACTTGCGACTGTCGTAAAGCACTGCATAAGCAGCATACGTTGCATAGGCAGATGAATAAATCAACCCCACCCACTGCAAATGCAGCCTATTTCAATATGCTTCATACCAAAGTACTTTTGATTAGACGGTTTATCCAGGAGGTAAATGCAAATTACTCTGGGTGTGTTCCCTTCAGCCAGCTGTTGAGGAATCTTAAGTGCAAGGGTTTGGCACCCGTAGATTTTATTTCGTGCAAGCCCAATGATGCACTGTTTTCTTAGGCAGGGATTTTGAGTATGTCTTTCAGAGCTGCAATTTTCAGCAGCACAGCCAGAGCGTTTCAAAGGACGATCATGAGAATGAGATTCAGGTGATTGGAGGTGCGCACAGTTTCATGAAGAGGGTTATTCGTGTGGGATACAGCCCAGGATGGCACATGCCAGACCTCTTTTAAGTTGATGACATTTGCAACAGGCTCTCACAAGCAGAGCATGTAGAAAAATGAAATACATTCTGAAATTATGCAGGTAAAAGAAATCAAGCTCTTCATTGCAGAGAGGGCTTGAGAGCAGACAGAGGAGAAAGCAGAAAGGGTTTGCAGAGGCCCCAGTATTCCAGAACAGCCTTGACTTCAAGGAGACTGCTCTAATGTCCCCATAATCACCCCAGTATTTGTCACACCAAAAATATCATTTACCATAAGGGGCAGGCACTAACATTTATTTGTGCTCATGTTGTTTCCAGGCACATTACGTTCTTTTTCTTTTTCTTTTCTTTTCTTTTTTTCTTTTTCTTTTTTTGAGACACAGTCTGGGTCTGTTGCCCCGGCTGGAGTGCAGTGGCACGATCTCGGCTCACTGCCAGCTCTGCCTCCCAGGTTCAAGCAATTTTCCTGTCTCAGCCTCTCGAGTAGCTGGGATTACAGGCACACGCCACCACACCTAGCTAATTTTTGTATTTTTGTGTTTTTTTTTGTTTTTTTTTTTTTTTTGGAGATAGAGTCTCACTTTGTTGCCCAGGCTGGAGTGCAGTGGTGCAATCTCGGCTCACTGCAAACTCCACCTCCCGGGTTCAAGCAATTTTCCTGCCTCAGCCTCCCAAGTAGCTGGGACTACAGGCATCTGCCACCACACCTGGATAATTTTTTTTTGGATTTTTAGTAGAGACGGGGTTTCACCGTGTTAGCCAGGATGGTCTCGATCTCCTGACCTTGTGATCCACCCTCCTCGGCCTCCCAAAGTGCTGAGATTACAGGCGTGAGCCACCATACCCAACCTAATTTTTGTATTTTTAATAGAGACGGAGTCAGGCTGGTCTTGAACTCCTAACCTCAAATGATCCACCTGCCTCGCCTCCCAAAGTGCTGGGATTATAGGCGTGACTTTTTCTTATTTAATATTCAAAACAACCTTAGGAGGTGAGACTATTATTATTCCCACTTTGGAATGTGAAAACTAAGGTTCAAAGTCATGTAGTTAGAAGCAATGAGGACAGGATCCAAGTACGACTGAGCAGCATGTGGAATTCCATTGCATGGAATTGCATGGTGCTGTTTCCTCTCTGCTCGGGGGAGCCTGGCCCAAGACACAGCAGCAGCCTGGCCAGTGTTGTCCCCACTTTCTACTTCTGCCATTTACTGCTTCCCACTGATGACAGCTCTACCACCCACACTTCTCCAAGGTCATGTCTTGTCTAAGAGTGGTGTCCCTGATGTATTTTAAATAAAAAGCGGCATTTTTACAAAATGCATATGGCAGAACTCCATGAAAAAGAACCACCCTCAGTTCTGTGTGTGTGCATGTGTGTGCCCGTGTGGGCTTCAGATCCCTTGCACTTCCCTCCACTTTGAGGAGGGAATGGGGAGGTTGTCCCAATCACGACTGTATTTTGAGCCTGGTGTGATAGAGCCCAGAATGAAAGTTAATTTGTTTTAGAGAAAATAATGCGGCATTTTACATTCACACAGCAGTGAAGTTAACACTTCATCCCAGTTACACATGCAAAGGGGCCAGACTGACTCCAAACCCCGGAGTTTGTCCTCAGTTTTAGCTGCTGCTGTGTCCCATCTGCACCAAGGACCTTTATTGATTTCTCCAGCGGTTATTAGCAACACTGCTGACTCCAGTACGCTTCATCACTCTCAAAACGACTCAACTTGGAAGAGGTAACGACTCAACTCTGCAGGGGTAAAGATGGAGAATGTTTCACATTGGTATCAAAGAGGAGGCTGTGCTTGTGTCTTCTGGGGCCAGTTTTTTTGTTTTGTTTGGTTTTGTTTGAGACGGAGTCTTGCTCTGTCACCCAGAGTGGAGTGCAGTGGTGCGATCTCGTCTCACTGCAAGCTCCACCTCCCAGGTTTATGCCATTCTCCTGCCTCAGCCTCCCGAGTAGCTGGGACTACAGGCACCCACCACCACACCCGGCTAATTTTTTGTGTTTTTAGTAGAGACAGGGTTTCATCGTGTTAGCCAGGATGGTCTCGATCTCCTGACCTCGTGATTCGCCCTCCTCGGCCTCCCAAAGTGCTGGGATTACAGGTGTGAGCTACCGCGCCCGGCTTTCTGGGGCCAGTTTCACAGAAATTTTGTCACGTCTGGCTTTCTGAAGACTGCAATGCTATAAATTATTTGTTCCTTCTCATAGCTTTCATCAGTTATAAGGTTTTGTCCTTTGTGAGAATGTAAAAGCTGAAGTCTTCATTATATCTTACTGAGAAAGATCTTATTGATTTTTTTTCTGATGGGAGGTGGTGGGTGAAGCAAGCAGAACAGAGGGTCTAGGAAAAATCTGGACAGGAACCAAAAGGGTGGCAGGGGACTCTAGTGAGCCCCAGAGGAAATAGCCTGGGCTCCCCTTTTCCCGGTAGAATAGTGCCAGTTGGGCTAAGTTTGCAGGGAAAACAAACAGCAAATATAACATTTTACTGTGTTAGTGATGGTGAACGGGTCTGAACTTAATCTGAGAGGTGAGTCCACTTTGGGGCTTGGCTCTCACACTCAAATGGTTACTCCTGGTAACTGTGAAATAAAGCCTTTCTGTCCTCTATGTACCAGAATCATTGCTTTTGTCTGCATATTTTCTGAAAGGTGCTTCTCATTCTATTACCCTTTAATTAATCAGCGTCACCAATGTGAATATTATGAATGAGTTTTATGCCCTGCACAAAATATCATTGTCAGAAACATATTCTGAAGCAGGGAACATTAGATAAAATCAACAAGGGTTGGAGGAGACCCCTCCGTCCCCTCTGCCACCACCTGGGTGCAGGTTCTCATTGCCTCTTTCTAGACCACTGCAATAACTTCCCAGCTCCTCTTCTTCTTGCCCCAGAGCACCAGCAGATTCTGCCACAGGGGCCAATCCTTCTCAGGCTGGCCCCAACCTGACCTTTTCCTTGTTCCCCCATCCCCAGCCCCAACTGTGGGACTGCATGTCTTTGTTGATGGTCCTGCCCACAATTTTCATCTAACTCCTGTTCTAGGTGTGTTCCACCTGAGTATTTCACTCTCGTGAAACTGCCCTAGAACACCCAAGTGGAGAAACACTTTCTAAGTGTAATGGGCTGTGTTTACTCATGAAGTTGTAGCCCGTTCAGAAATACATTGCTTTGTATTTATATAGAATTATAAAGGATCTTGAATAGTCAAGGCAAATGTTAAAGAATAAAAACAAAGTTGAGGAACTCTCAATGCCAGATTTCAAGATTTGCACTAAAACTTTGTTAATGAGGACACTGTGGTATTGACACAAAAACAAATAGTCGAATGGAAGAGGCTGGTGAATCCAGAAATACACTGCACATAAACAGTCACAGAATCTACACAAAGCCACTCCTGCAATTTAGTGAGTGAAGAATTTATTTTCAATAAATGATGCTACATCAACTGCATATCTATATGGAAAATGTGGAATAAGCTCTTAGCTCAGCCCATTTACAAAAATTAATTTGACATGGATCACTATCTTAAGTTGAAGGTTAAAACGATGATTTGAGAAGAAAATATAAAAGAACATCTTCATGACCTTGGGATAGGCAAAGATTCCTCCCATAGACACGACCCATCAGCACTAACAATAAAGAAGTGATAAATTGAACTTCATTAAAATTATGAAATTCTACTCCTTGATGTACACTATTGAGTGGAAACACAAGCCAAAATCTTGGAGAAGATAATCACAATGCATATGTCCAACAAAGGACTCATGTTCTAAGTATGTAAAGAACATGTTCAAATTAATAAAAGACAATTTTTTAAGGCAAAAGAATTAACAGGCACATCCCCAAAGAGGATATACAAAATAGGCAAGAAACATATGGAAATATGTTTAATATCATTACTCATGAGAGAAATGCAAATTAAACTCACCATGAAAAATCACTGTACATTCCACAGAATGAATAAAATTAAAAAGACTGACGATGCTGAGTGCTGGCAGGGATGCCAAGTATACAGAACTCTCACACACTGCTGCTGCACGGGGCAAAGGGTGGACCAACTGCTTTGAAAAACTGGAACTACCTGCTAAAGCTAGACCTATGCCTGTCTTATGACCCAGAAATACCAGTTACCTGTAGGTGTTGTCGGGATTAATTCAAGTAGGCTAGAATTAGCCTGAGCTCTTTTGCTAAAGCACCTGCTGACCCCTAGTCAAAGCGTGAAACATAATGATTAATTAATGGTGGTGCATTGCACCCATGGATTTGAGGGGCATCGTGTGAGTTGTGCCAGCTTGTCATTGTTGTTCATTGGTAACAGATGATTTGTACCTGGTGTTGCTGAGAATCCTAGAGGGCTCTGCCATTGTAGCCATGATGTTCTGAAGTGTCTGATATATGTTAAAATTAGAGGTAGTAAAATAACATGTTTTGCAAATATCTTTTTGTTAAAATTCATATGAAATGTTGTTTTTGGGGAAGAATGGCCAAACCACCTGTTGAATAATACATAGTGCGTTTGAGCCCCTGTTCAGGAGAGTCGGGAGAAGGGTGAAGTGGAGAGAGCTCTGTGCCACTGTACTCACAGTGAGGCAAGATGAACCATTATCTCTATGTCTGTGCATTTTGTTTTACGTATCTCTGTACATAGTGTATATAAAGGACAAACGAGTCCAGTTTACATCTAGTTTTTCTAGATGTTAAAGAGGTTGCCAGTGTATGGCAAAAGTAGATTAGTGAACTAATGTATTTTGTACATTTTGTTTTAAAATTCCTAGGAGAGATTGTCTTCTGAAAATCTGAGCATTCTTTCTCACTGGGTTGATGGAGCTGGGAAGGGTCCTAGGCCAGAATGTCCATATTTCAAAGACTCTTTCAAATTATAACTATGGTTACATGGGTGCAGTTTATTCCAGACTACTGTGTACATAGTGGACAAATTAACTCCTTACCTGAAACATCTAGTTTACCTAGATGTTTAAAGTGCCTGATATATGTTAAATGTAGAGGTGGCAACATAGCACTTTGTAAATATCTTTTTGCTAAAACTAATAGGAAATACTGTCTTTTGGAAATTCAATTGTGAAGCCACCATTGTGAGCAGTAGAGTACTGTCTATACTTGTTCAATGGCTTAGAGGAGGTGGGAGGGAAGAAATTGCAAAAGGTAATATGCTAGCGTGTTCATACTTGGACGTCTTCAGACACCATTTTTTCTCTATGTTTTGTGCATTTTGTTTTGCTCTGTATATAGTGTATGTTATGAAAAAATGAGCACTAATTTTGCAACATCTAGTCTCTAGTTGTTAAAGACATTGGCAATGTATGACAAAGAACTTAGAAAATTAGCATATTTTTATGCCTTGTGTTGAAATTAATAGGAAAATTTGTCTTCTGCAAATGACTTTTGGATAGAAATTTGTTCATCTCTAAGCATTACGTGTGTCTGTACTTGTCCACTGGATTGAAGGCAGAGAGAAGGAAGTGAGGAGAGAATGATTTGAGGCCAAAATGGTCATATTTAGAAGACACCTCACATTATAACCATTGCTATGTGTGTGCAATTTTATTTAACAGTGCTGTGTAGGTGGTGGACAAGTTACATGAAATATCTAATCTTTCTAGAAATGTGGAAGTGCTTGATTATTTATTTATTTATTTATTTATTTTTATTTTTGAGACAGGGTCTCACTCTGTCACCCAGACTGGAGTACACTGGTGTGATCTCGGCTCACTGCAACCTCCGCCTCCCAGGCTCAAGTGATTCTCCTGCCTCAGCCTCTCGAGTAGCTGGAATTACAAGCATGTGCCACTACCACCCTGCTAATTTTTGTATTTTTAGTAGAGATGCGGTTTCACCATGTTGGCCAGGCTGGCCTTGAACTCATGACCTTAAATGATCCACCCGCCTCAGCCTCCCAAGTGCTGGGATTTTAGGTGTGAGCCACTCGCCTGGCAGGTGATTATTTAAAAGCAGAAGTAGTATAATCATATTTTTTTGTAAATAGCTTTTTAAAAATGGATGGGAAATAATATTTGGAAGTGGAGTTGTTGAACTACCTCTGTGAACAGCATACTCTCTCTAATTGTTCATTGGGTTGAGGGTGGTGAGAGGGAAGAAATTGCAAAAGTTGCTTTGCTAGTGTTTATTAGCACGTTGTGCACGTGTATCCTAAAACTTAAAGTATAATAATAATAAAATTTTAAAAAAAGGTTTTAAAAAAAAAGAAAATTTCAGCTTAATCCATTGCCTGTATGTTACATGCGTTTCATTTACCTTTGCTGTACTGTATATATTGTGTATATACTGAACAAATGAGTCCTAATTTTATAATATTTAGTCGAGTCTCTAGAGAGTAAAAAGGTTGCCAATGTATGACAGAAAGAGTTAGTAAACTAGCATAAGTTGTATGCTTTGTTAAAATTCACAGAAAGACTGTCTTCTGAAAAGGACTTTTGGGAGTGAAATAACATCAGCTCTAAGTGACTCATGTGCCTATATCCACCTGGTTGGTGGTGAAGAGGAGTTGAAAGGAATGAAGGATTCTAGGACAGAAGGTTCCTATTGAGAAGACACTTTCGGCTATAACCACTGTTACGTGTGTGTAATTTATTCAACACTACTGTGTATATAACGGACAAACAAATCATATTTAAAACATCATCTAGTCTTTTTAGATGTTTAGAAGTGCACAAAGTATGTTAAAAGTAGAGGTAAATAACACATTTTGTAGATATCCTTTTGATGTGAAATATTGTCTTTTGGAAATTGAGCAAACCAATTCCCTGAGCCGTACACATTATTATATCTGTGTCAGTTTGGGGAGGAAGGAGGAGCAGAAAGTACAAAGGGCTTTTCACCAGTGTGTTTATGGTGAGGCACATTGACTATTATCTTTTTTTTTTTTTTTTTGAGACGACGTCTCGCTCTGTCACCAAGCTGGGGTGCAGTGGCGCAATCTTGGCTCTCTGCAACCTCTGCCTCCTGTATTCAAGCGATTCTCCTGCCTCAGCCTCCAGAGTACCTGGGACTACAGGTGTGCACCACCACACCCAGCTAATTTTTGTATTTTTAGTAGAGAAGGAGTTTCACCATGTTTGCCAGGATGGTCTTGATCTAAGTCTGCATTTTCTTTGTGCTGTGTAGATAGCGTACATAAGAGGACAAACCAATCCTAATCTATATCATCTAGTCTTTGTAGATGTTAGAGAGGTCCAGTGCGTGACAAAAGTAGATTTAGTGAATTAAAACACTGAGTACGTTTTGTGTTAAAATTCATAGGGAAGACTGTTGTTAAAAACATAGAAGTGGGCAGGGCACGGTGGCTCACGCCTGTAATCCCAGCACTTTGGGAGGCTGAGGTGGGCAGATCACTTGTGGTCAGGAGTTCAAGACCAGCCTGACCAATATGATGAAATCCTGTGTCTACTAAAAATACAAAAATTAGCTGGGCATGGCAGCGGGCACCTGTAATCCCAGGTACTTGGGAGGCTGAGGCAGGAGAATTGCTTGAACCCTGGAGGCAGAGGTTGTTAGAATCCTTTCTACACAATACATTTGGCTTATAGCTGTCCACAGGGTGGACAGAGGTTGGAACGGGAAGGGTTCTAGGCCAAAATGTTCAGGGGAGGGGTGCTAGGCCAGAATGTTCGTATTTAGAAGACACTTTCAAATTACAGTCTATGTTATGTATATGCACCATTTATTCAATGCTACTATGTATATAGTGGAAAACCTAAGTCCTCTTTGAAACATCTAGTCTTTCTAAATGTTTAAAAGTGCACAACATAGGTTAGAAGTAGAGGGCTAAAGTGACACCCTTTAAGCATTTTCTTTATTACTTTTTAGGAGTGTTTGCATTTGGAAATGGAATGGTTAAACTTGATGCTTTGGACTGTTCATAGGGTGATGGTGGGTGTAGGAGGAGGAAGTATGCAAAGGGAAGGGTTCTGTGCCCAAGAGTTAGATTAGTTCACATGATCTAACCATTGTTCTATATGCATTTTAGTTAATAGTGTTTTGTTTTTTATTTTTGATGGAGTTTTGCTCTTGTTGCCCAGGTTGGAGTGCAATGGTGTGATCTAGGCTCACTGCAACCTCTGCCTCCTGGGTTCAAGTGGTTCTCCTGCCTCAGCCTCCTGAGTAGCTAGGATTATAGGCACACACCACCACACCTGGCTAATTTTTTTGGTAATTTTTAGTAGATTCGGTGTTTCACCATGTTGGCCGGGCTTGTCTTGAACTCCTGACCTCAGGTGATCCACCCACCTCAGCCTCCCAAAGTGCTGGGATTACAGGTGTGAGCCACCGCACCTGGCCAATAGTGGGTATTAAAAGATAAACAAGTCTTAATGCTCAAAGTATGTTAAAAATAGATGTAGTAAAACAATCCGTCTACAAATGTTCTTTTGTTATATTTTAGGAGGCCTGTCTTCTGGGAGTGACCTTTGTTATTCCACCTCTTGGAGCTAGGCATAGTCCTATACCTAGTCACTGGGATGGTGGAAGAGGGAGAAAAGGAAGGATGAAGGAAAGAGCTATTTGCTAGTATCTCCACATCTAGAAGATGGTTTTAGATGATAACCATAGGTCTACATGAGCATTTTTAGTAAAGTGCTTGTGTGTAATTCTGGACAAAGTTTATTATTTTGCACTATCTAAGCTTTATGAATGTCCTGGGGTGATAATGTGTGATAAAAAGTAGAACTAGTGAATTAGCCAATTTGTAAATTTTTTCTTGTTATAATTTATAGAAAAGATGCAACTTGGACATGGAACTGTTAAACCATCTCTGAGCTTTGTATGCCAGGACTTGTTCATTAGGTTGGCAGCAGAGCAGCAAAAGGAAGTATAAAGAGAGAGATGTATGCAGATGTGTCGATATTTACATTTTGATGATAGCCATTGTTGTATGTGCATCTCTTTTAGCTGTACTATAGGAATACATTAGGTATTTCAATGAAAACATACCTTGCTAATATTTGAATAGTATAGATCTGCTAATGGATTCTCTTAGAAACATTATACTTAGTGTATTCTATTGCTGTATATTTCATTTTAAAGTGAGCACTAAAGGAATGCGGTATTTTAATAAAAACTCTGCCAACGCTTTTACTTAGAGGCGTGTTGCCAATTTTTGTCTTTTATGAAAATTTGGCCCAAGAAAGGCAGGATTACATTGTTTTTCCAACAGATTGAGTGGGTGTAGTGTATTCTTGATGATCAAAATACTCATATAGCTTTGAGATTTTGAATTGGTAAATACTCAAGATGTGTGAAAAAGCATGATACATACTATATGATCTCAGTCCCATAAAATTGACTATTGTATCTACACCCACACAGGACCTAGAAGGACATGTTAAACTGTAAACTGCTTGTGATTGTGGATGACCTTTTTCGTTGCTTCTTGTGTTTTTCAGTTTCCTATAATGCACATAGTAACTTAAAAAAATAAAGATTATTTTTGAAACCTAAAAAAAAGAGGTTACAGAATTGAATACTCCCTGAGATAAGGTAAAATCATCTTATGCTAACGGTTGCAAGATAATGGTATAAGTAAGCTTTCGTCGTACATATCAATGAACTTTAAGATTTGGAAGACAAAATTCAGTTTATGTATTCAATTAAATGTGCTCAGATTGTATTGTGCTAGATAGGCACATTATTCTAACATAATATGAATGAATCAATAAAATCCTTATAATACTGATGAAATGTGGTCATTTACATGTAAATCTTATATGGCTATTTCCATATGGATATTAATAATATGTAGACCATTTGTTACTAATAGATATTTAAATTCCTTCAAATACTTGTTGATATAAGTTTATGCCACAGATTTATCTTTGGCATGAAAAGAAAGAATGGATAAGAGAGACGACTTGTAGAAATATCTTGGAGGTTGTGTAACATCTCGTTTCTGCCCAGGCTCTGTGTGTATTCACAGTATTCTGTGGAGAGGAAGCAAGTATAAGTCAAATTCCTGGTACCTTGAATAACACTCAAATCTGTGTCTCTGTTTCATCATCCTGCAGTGAGCTAGATGGATTCCCCTATCCCTTCTCATCCTTCCACCCAATACTCACCTGTCCACTCTGACTTTTATTTTGACTTTCGAGGCTGGGGATGTTAAGGGTTGGTGGAGGCAGTGCGGTACTGCTGCTCAGCAAGAAGCTTGCGTGGCCTTGCCAGGTTCCCAAATCACAAAACCACACACTGTTCTCATTAGTGTGAAGTGCAAGATTCTCTCTTCTATGCTAATTTGCAAAGAAATTAAGATGGTACCTTTCAGTAGAAAAATTTCCCTCAGTGCCCTAGTTCAGAGGAGCGATGAAATGTAACACGCAGAGAGTCAGATGTTTAGGTACTCCTCAAGTTTCCTGTAAAAGAGCAGAACTGCAGGCTGCTGGAAAGACTGAGGGTGGAGCTGGCGCTGCAGCAACTGAGGGATGTCTTTGCAAATGTGCTCATGTATGTTTTTATGTGAAAATAATCTTAAAATTTCTCAATTCAGGCTAAGAAGAAAGAAAGAAGACACAATTACTAATACCAGAAATGAAACAGGGATCATCATTTCTGATCAAATGGATGTTAAATGGACAATAAATGAATATTATGAACAATTCTATGCCCATAAATTGTACAACTTAGATGAAAAGAACCAATTCATTGAAAGACAGAACCTACTAGATGTCACATAAGGAGAAATAGATGATCTGAATGGGCCTATATGGACTACAGAAATCGAATTGATAATTAATAAACTTCCAAAACAGAAAGCACCAAGTTTAGAGGGGTTCAAAGGTGAATTATACCAAACAATTGAGGAATAAATGATATCAGTTATTCATAATTTGTTCCAGAAAATTAAAGTAGAATGAATACTTCCTAACTCATTCTATGAGGCCAGCATTACCCTAATACCAAAACCAGATAAAGATATTACAAGAAAGGAAAACTCTAGACAAATATTTCTTATGAACATAGATGCAAAAATCCTCAACAAAATATTAGCAAATTGAATCCAATAGTATATAAAAAACACAATATGTGTGTATACACCACAATCAAGTGAGGTGTATGTCAGGTATGCAATCTCAACATTCAAAAAACAATTAGTGCAATCTATCACATCAACAAGCTAAAGAAGAATCAGATCAAATGATCATATCAATAGATTCAGAACAAACATTTGACAAAATCTAACACGCATTTATATTAAAAACGCTTAGCGAACTAAGAATAGAGGAAAAACTGCTCAAACTGATAAAGAACATCTACAAAAAGTTTACAGCTAACATCATACTTAATGGTGAGAAACTAAATGCTTTCTTTCTAAAATTGGGAATAAGGACAGGATGTCCCCTCTCATCACTCCTATTCAGCATTATACTGAAGTCCTGGTTAATACAGTGTGAAAAGAGAAGGAAATAAAAGGTATACAGATTGGGAAAAAAAAAACCAAAATTATCTTTGTCTAAAATGACATTATTCTACATTATTCAGTAGAAAAATCTCAAATAATAAACAAAAATTCTCCTGGAACTGATACGTCATTAAAGACAGGTTGCAGGATGCGAAACCTTTAATTGGTTGAAATTTAAACCAAATTTAATTTGGATTAATATCCAAAAGTCAGTTGGTTTCCTATATATCAGCAATAAACAATTGAAATTAAAAGCAAAACACCAATTACATTAGCAGTAAAAAAGTGAAACACTTAGGTATATGTTAACAAACCAGGTATCAGATCTATATGAAGGAAAACAACAAAACTCTGATGAAAGAAATAACAAATCTAAAGAAATGGGGAGATGTTTAATGTTTGTAGATAGGAAGACTCAATATTGCCAGGAGGTCAGTTTTCCCATCTGGGAATCTATAGATTCAATGCAATTCTTTCTTTTGTTTTTTTTTTTTTTTTTTTTTTTTGAGATGGAGTCTCTCTGTCTCCCAGGCTGGAGTGCAGTGGTGTGATCTCGGCTCACTGCAAGCTCCGCCTCCCGGGTTCACGCCATTCTCCTGCCTCAGCCTCCCGAGTAGCTGGGACTACAGGCGCCTGCCACCAAGCCTGGCTAATTTTTTGTATTTTTAGTAGAGACGGGGTTTCACCGTGTTAGCCAGGATGGTCTCAATCTTCTGACCTCATGATCTGCCCGCCTCGGCCTCCCAAAGTGCTGGGATTACAAGCGTGAGCCACCGCACCCGGCCGACTCAATGCAATTCTAGTCACAATCTCAGCCGATTACTCTGTGGATATCAACATACTGATTCTAAAGTTTACATGAAATGGCAAAAGATCTGTGGATAGATCAATAGAATATTGAAGAAGAAGAAAGAATGACATTACCCAACTTTAAGACTTATTTTAAAGTTACAGCAATCAAGAGTCTGGTATTGGTGAAAGAATAGACAAATAAGTCAATGTAAGAGGATAGAGAGCCCCAAAATAGACCTATGTAAATGTACAGTCACCTGATTTTTGACAAAGAAGAAATGCAGTTCAACGGATAAATGGACAGTTTTGTTTTTTGGTTTTTGGTTTTTGTTTTGTTTTGTTTGAGATGGAGTTTTGCTCTTGTTGCCCAGCTGGAGTGCAATGATGCGATCTCAGCTTACTACAACCTCTGCCTCCTGGGTTTGAGCAATTCTCCTAACTCAGCTTTCTAAGCAACTGGAATTACAGGTGCCTACCACCACGTCTGGCTAATTTTTGTATTTTTAGTAGAGACAGGGTTTTACCATGTTGGCCAGGCTGGTCTTGAGCTCCTGACCTCAAGTGATCCACAACGCCTTAGCCTCCCAAAGTGCTGGGATTACAGGTGTAATCCCGCACCTGGCCCAAAGGTACAGTCTTTTTAACAAATGGTGGTGGAACAACTAGACATCACATGCAAAAGAAAAAAAAAAGGATCTAGACAAAGACCTTACACCCTTCACAAACTGAACTCAAAATGGGTCATAGGCCTAAATATAAAACATAAAAGTATAAAACTTCTAGAAGATAACACAGGAGAAAATTTACATGACTTTGGATTTGACGATGAGTTTTTGTGCTACATCGAAAGCATAATCCATGAGGGGAGAAAACAGGTAAGCTGGACTTTATCGAAATTAAAACTTCTGCTCTGTGAAAGAAACTGTTAAAAGAAAAGAAGGCAAAGCCACATGGATGAGCTTAGACATAGTTGTGAAGAGACACCAGCATGCTTTTTGTGAGTCATTTCCCTCTCTCCCTCTCTCTCTCTTTCCCTCTCATCCCTCAGGTCAGTGGAGAGTGGTTCTTTCTGCCTCCTTTGAGGTCCTTGTTAAGAGATGGAAACTTGGCCAGGCGCGGTGGCTCACGCCTGTGATCCCAGCACTTTGGGAGGCTGAGGTGGGTGGATCATGAGGTCAGGAGATCGAGACCATCCTGGCTAACACAGTGAAACCCCATCTCTACTAAAAATACAAAAAATTAGCCAGGCATGGTGGCGGGCGCCTGTAGTCCCAGCTACTCGGGAGGCTGAGGCAGGAGAATGGCATGAATCCGGGAGGTGGAGCTGGCAGTGAGCCATGATCATGCCACTGCACTCCAGCCTGGGTGACAGAGCGAGACTCCGTCTAAAAAAAAAGAGATGGAAACTTGTCACTAAAAAACACAGTCATGAATAAAATCCCTGAGTGCAGGTACTGGTCAACAGTGTTAAAAAGCTTCCGTATGTATGAAAATTTGCAGAAATAGAAAAAATATATAAATAACATTTGAAGTGTTTTCTGTAATTAATGTAAAAGTTGATAATTTTGGAAAGCTTGGAAACGCTTCCAAACTGGACCAGTTTGCTGTGGGGTGATGAGAACATCAGGCTCATTCATAGTTCCAGTCAGAAGAATAAGAGACTTTAGTGACATCCTGTAGGCCTAGTTCTCACACTGCTGAAGGAGCCTGTCCCTTCTGAAATCCATAGTCTTATCTCAAAATTGAGTGAAGGGGCCGGGCTTGGTGGCTCATGCATGTAATCCCAGCACTTTGGGAGACCGAGGTGGGCAGATCACTTGAGGTCAGGAGTTAGAGACCAGCCTGGCCAACATGGTGAAACCCCCGTCTCTATCAAAAATATAAAAAAGTAGCCAGGTGTGGTGGCGCATGCCTGTGATCCCAGCTACTCGGGAGGCTGAGGCAGGAGAATCACTTGAACTTGGGAGGTGGAGGTTGCAGTGAGCTGAGATTGCACCACTGCATTCCAGCCTGGGCGACAGAACAATGAGTGAAGATTTTCCCTCTTGAGAAAATGTTGACCTGTAAAAGATTGTGAGGACCTGAATTGGTCCACTCCTCTGTGGTTCAAAATGGTTTTATTTTCCATGTTACGACCTGGGGACAAGTTAAAGCATTTTTTCTCCTTCCTGATTGCTATAACAAAACTATCAATATTGTCATGGCTCCAGCCAAAGAAGAGAGTGGCCGTGGATTCTTGCCTTGATTTATTTTTATTTTTATTTATTTATTTATTTTTTATTGAAACAGAGTCTCTCTCTGTCACCCAGGCTGGAGTGCAGTGGCGCAATCTCAGCTCACTGCAAGCTCCACCTCCCGGGTTCACGCCATTCTCCTCCTCAGCCTCCCGAGTAGCTGGGACTACAGGCACCCTCCACTACACCTGGCTAATTTTTTGTACTTTTAGTAGAGACGGGGTTTCATTGTGTTAACCAGGATGGTCTCAATCTCCTGACCTCGTGATCCGCCCACCTCGGCCTCCCAAAGTGCTGGGATTATAGGCATGAGCCACTGCGCCTGGCCTCTTGCCTTGATTTCTGTTCATTTATCTCTCCCCGTGTTGGAGGGGCTGCAAGTCAGCTGGCTGGACTGTTCTGATCATGCATGAAGTACCTGGTGACCAAGGAATTCATATGGTTTCCTTAGTTGCATTTTTAGGGCAACCACACAAGATCTGTCAAGGTGAAAGCAGCTATGTCATGGCCAGTGGCAGGCTGGAACCATTGGATGGGTTTTCACTGCCTTCCTGGGTTGCTTTTCCAGGAGGACCCACATATGTGACAATGGCTCTTGGGGTCTAGGGGCGAGATAACAGGTATCTTAAGCCTCGATTTAGTGTGTCCTCAGGGAAGTTTTAAATGTTGGGCGTTGCTCCTAGCCCAGGATTCTTAGCAAATAGTAGTCATGGTAATTTCTGGCTTGCTGACTGCTTAAACAGAAGTTTCAAACATAGAAACAGGTAGTGGTTTTTACACATTATTGTATGCCTATAACTAGATGCTGGTCACAGCACAGCCAGGTGAAAAACCCAAGATGCCGCTGGTGATGAATCCCATTTGCAACAGTACAGTAACTAAAAATCCAAAAGAAAAAAAAATACAGGAGCTTTCATGGCATAAACCATAAGCCTTTACAGACACCAATAAAAGTAGACTTGAATAAGTGGCAGGATACTATAATAAGATTAAATTCAAATTAAAAGCCCCATGCGATTGGGAGAGCAGGATTGGACAAAGTGTTGCTAAAATATCCTGTAGGTAAGTGCCAATATTCACCAAGAAATCTTTAAAAATCAAGAGTATTGGAAAAATTTAAATATATTACAGACCTCTATGCAGATGTAGGTCTGTTTTAAGAGTAGATAGATGAATTGGAGAGCACAGGCTGCTGGCAGAGACCCCTCCTCTGCTCCACCCCCCAGAATAAGAGTTTATAGGCGGCATCACTAATTACGAGGGAAGGAAACTTATGAGTCAGTGGTGCAGGCATAATAGGTGGGGAATGGAGGTAGATTCTCTCCTCATACCGTATACTGACCATAGCTACTCAGTCTCCAGCCTCTTCAGTGGTCAAATGGAAAGAGCATGGGCCAAGGCCTCCACCCTGAAATAATCGCACAGTGAGCACACATGTTGGTGTGGCCCGAGACACCAGGTACACGAAGATGCTCTCGTAAGGCAGGATGTTCTGAGCACCTAGAGGTCACTGCCCAGAAACTGGCCAAGGGCCAGGCATGTTTTTCAACATACAGGGTTTGAATGCTCCAGACTTTCTGAATTAACCTTTTACTGTACAGGAACTACGTGGTGGCTGCACAGAGAGTGGGAACAGGCAACCGGAGACCTGAGTAGGGACTCGGGCAGGTGTTTGTGAAGAGGGGAAGGGGTGGAGATCTGGGGTTGGGAAAGGACACTGGAAGAACTCAGCCCATTGTCTGATCTCACACATGTTTAATGGAGGGGCAGCTGTCCTGAAGGCCAGAGGCCAAGGCCATCAGGAGGGAAGGCAGTGCTGATGGCTGAGGCACAGTTCAGTCCCAGGTTCCAGGGTCCACAGCAGAGCCCCGGCTGCAGCCTCATGCCCTCCTCCCCAGCACTGGCTTAGCAAGGGCCATGCCTGGTGATGATCTTGCAGAATGAAGGCTGAGAGTTTTCTTGTAGGCTGCTCGGTCTGTTTCTAATTGGGGAATGAGAAGATTTCTGAAGAGCTTCAAGGCATTGCTGCTGATTCAGATATTTCCACGGGTGCTGTGCATGCGACTTATTTTTTTCTCTCCTTGTCTTCTTCCTTCCTTCCTTCTTTTCTTTTCTTTTTTCTCCATTCCATTATGAATTATCATTACAGGATGTTTAAAAACATAGTTTTCGGTGGCTCACGCCTATAATCCCAGCACTTTGGGAGGCCGAGGTGGGCGGATCACAAGGTCAGGAGATCGAAACCATCCTGGCTAACACGGTGAAACCCTGTCTCTACTAAAAAAAAAAATACAAAAAATTAGCCGGGCGTGGTGGCAGCCACCTGTGGTCCCAGCTGCTCGGGCAGCTGAGGCACGAGAGTGGTGTGAACCCGGGAGGCAGAGCTTGCAGTGAGCCGAGATCACGCCACTGCACTCCAGCCTGGGTGACAGAATGAGACTCTGTCAAACACAAAACAAAACAAACAAACAAAAAAACGTAGTTTTTACCCATTTTCTGGAAAAAGAACATCTATAAAGATTGGACCAATTCTTGCCATGACCCTCTCTCCTCTTGTATGACCCTACAAGAGAAGAGACAGCCAGATTGGGGCAGGACAACACGTTCTTAGAAAGAGAATGCCACAGAGCAGACACCACACATTTGCTAGTGCTTTTTAGTTCAAAGATCCTGCTCATTCCATCCTCAGAAGCAGTTTTCACGGTTATCAGGGCTTTAGGGCCAAAGTATGAGAAGAAACTGAGGGCTGATCCCATTTCCTGTGCATTCAGTGTTTTCTTTTTTCTTCAGAGTCTCTGTCACCCACGCTGAGGTGCAGTGGCACCATCTCGGCTCACTGCAACTTCCAACTCCCTGGTTCAAGTGATCCTCCTGCCTTAGCCACCCAAGTAGCTGGGATTACAGGTGTGCACCACCACACATGGCTAATTTTTGTATTTTTAGTAGAGACAGGGTTTCACCATATTGGCCAGGCTGGACTTGAACTCCTGACCTTGTGAGCCACCCACCTCGGCCTCCCAAAGTGCTGGGATTACAGGTGTGAGCCACTGCACCCAGACTGAGCATTCAGTGTTTTAAAAATTAAAACAGCAAAGGATATTTCATTATCATTTGTATCTAGTGGGTATGATCCCATAGGAAAATTAGAAGGTGATGTTTCTTGCTGTGGGTTACGAATTCCCAGGAAATGGATGGGCTCTTCTGAGACAGGGACAGTCTGCACCACTGGCCATTCCCTTCTGGGAACAGAGCCTTCTCCACAGCAGGGCAAGCCCTGTGACTAAAGCACTGCTTCATCTCTGTTAGCCAAGCACTTAACGCTGTATCAGAAGATATTACAAGCTAATGATAAATGTGCCAAAGCCTGCAATACTTTAATCACTATTTCTCAGATTTATGTAAAAAGCAATTAAGGAAAGCTGTGAAATAAGAGCATAAATCACTAGATGAACATTTGACATTTAGTGCCCCGTTATGAGTGATGAGAGAGCACTCCAGCACTGGTTATTAGTGGACTCTTAAAGCAATCTCAAATTATGTGGAATTCAAATTCTGCGGAGTAATTAGAAATCTAAATAGGAATAAACTTTTCTCATTTAAGATATTTATGACTTAACTATTATTGAATTACCTATGAGCAAGAGCTGGGGAGTAGAAAAAAATCCCTTTCATGAACAGCCCAAAACAGTAAATAAGAGCAAGAGATGAGAAGTAGTAATAGGAACCAAAGGCCAAGACTTTTCTCCATATCACTCAACCACAACCCATGCCATTTAAAAGTTTACTGAGAGGGTATTGCACACCAGAGTTTAACCACCTTCTATGTTAGCCAACCCTACGCTGTTCTTTAATTATACACTGTAATTAGTACACTAAACACAATGTCTAGTAAATTAAAAAATAAATTCAGGTCTTAAGATACTTGTATCTGTCTTGGTTAAAGTTCTGAGTCAATTATTTGATAAAAGGGTGAGGAGCCTGCTTTTATGCTCAGCTGGAAGAGCTGTACATGTCACATGAAAGTACTCCATACACCTGGCATAGGCAGGGCCTCAGACGAATGAGCAGTCATGGGCTTCTCCAAACCAAACAACTGGGCCCTCACCTCCTCCACGTGGAATTCTTCTCACGCAAATAGACACAGGCCTCATAGCAGAATGGCAAAATTCTGAAAGTGTTATCTCAAAAGACCAGAAGGGGACATGAAAAAGAGGTGAACCGAGGCTTGAAAAAATGTCACAAATGGTGAATAGATGAGATCAGGGTGAAACAATGCAAATGTTACTGGAAAACAATAAAAGAAATGTTTGGTGAAAGAAAGTCTAAAACTCATTTCCTATGATATCTCATAGAGACTGTTTACTGCAGAAAATAGCTCAGGAAGTCATCGGTCAGGGAATGATCACTGGAACACCTCACTTTTTTGGAGATGACCTCTGGTAAGGACCAAGTCCTCTCTCGTGTTTGCTCTCATGACCCTCCCCGTGGGGGCTAGAGACTCTTCTTACTCTCCTACCTGTGGGAAAATGACTCACCCCTAAACACTTGGTGGTCAGGTTTGAAAGCCACACAGGCAGGCAGAAAAGTCATGGCAGGGGCACTTCAAAATAAATCTCTAAGGGAACTGAAAAAAAAAATTCCGACTAATCGAAGCCCTGAAAAACCTTCTGAATCCTACCCACTCTGCCGATTTTCTGAGGGAACCTCAGAAAATTAAGGATGTAGAAGCGGAACTCAAATACTGTTGCAGCTCCTCTTTTGGAAAAATCACTCTTTGCTGTAAACTTTCATGTTCATGGGACAATCCAACCAATATTTTAATGCTAGTAGCAATCACGGGACAAGCAGTTCCACTCGAACGTTCAGAAGCCAAGGAATAATGGCATGCCGGCTTCGATGCCTTCTGTCCTTGTTTACATAGTAAACGAGACTCTCTTAACGGCCCTTGGAAAGATGCCCTTTCATATTTGACACTGAATTCATCTGGTGCAAATAGAAAACCTTGAGGAAATGTGAGCCTGCCTTCCCCAGAGGTCAGCGCTTGTTATGTGAGCGCTGAGGGCCCTGCTGCCCCCTGCTGGGTCTGTACCCCGCAGAGACGCTGGCCACACCCAGCAGAGCCAGCTGCTCTCGGACCAGCTCTTCAGCCGGATCTGTGGTCGCCTCTGAAACCGCAGGCTCCCTCTGTGATGGGCTCGCCAGGCCCTGCTGCTCCTCCGGCTCACGGAAGTGCCCTGTGGTGCACGGGGTTTTCACTCCAGAGAGAGCCGGGGAACCCCGCCCCCATCAAAGTTGAAGTGTCCTCTATCCAAAGGAGCTCCTCTGCCAGCTTTTTTTTTTTTTCTTTTTTTCTTTTTTTCTTTTTTTTGAGATGGAGCCTCGCTCTGTCGCCCAGGCTGGAGTGCAGTGGCGCAATCTTGGCTCACTGCAAGCTCCGCCTCCCGGGTTCACGCCGTTCTCCTGCTTCAGCCTCCCGAGTTGCTGGGACTACAGGCGTCTGCCACCACGCCCGGCTAATTTTTTGTATTTTTAATAGAGACCGGGTTTCACCGTGTTAGCCAGGATAGTCTCCATCTCCTGACCTCAAGTGATCCACCCACCACAGCCTCCCAAAGTGCTGGGATTGCAGGTGTGAGCCACCGCGCCGGGCCACTCCTCTGCCAGCTTTGCAGACCACTGCCTCCCTGAAAATCAATCTGACATCCAAAACGTGTATGCTCGACAGTGTTCTGGTGTGTGTTTTACCACTTTAAAAACAAGAGTGGTCCAAACATCTACATTAAGGACTAACTAGTAAATTGAGACTTGCTCTCTGAAACTCCACAGTTATGGCCCTAAAAGTTCCCAAGGCAGGGCCTTGCACTTGGCGATGGGAAATGTAAATGAAATGTGTACGCTCAGTGGTTTTCATTGACTATTAGGCTTATGGCAGATAGTCTCTGCCAAGTTATAGAATTAGTATTCCTTCTCCAGATTTCTCCCTCTCTTACACCTGGACAACTGGAGCAGAATTCATAAAATTCTGTGCTGAAAAGGTGAATGTGCTGAGAGAAGGAGGAGGAAGAAACAGTCCCTCTATTTGTTCAGCCAAATGGCTAAACGCACCGTGACGAAAAGCTGGGGACCGAAAATGAGCCGCTTCAGTTTACGTGAAGCAAACTAACATCTTAAGTTACATTCAGCACAGACATATCTGCTGCAGTAATTTTTAAAAACCGTACAAAAAGTTGTTAGGCAATCGTTGCGAACACAATACAATGAAAAGAGCGCATGCCCTAAGTCATGGCTCAGTCCTGGGCACCAAAGCCAAGCTGTGCCATCCCCGGCAAGACCTGGAAAGTCTCCCGGCCTCAGTGTCCTCCTCCGTGAGGCCTGGATGTGAACCTCACAGGGCTGCGCTGAAGAGTAAATGTGATAATGAATCTGAGGACACTTTGTCAGTGCCATTCAAAAGTTCTTGTTTTAAAATTTATTGCTTTTGAAGCCATGTGAATTGGCTGTTGAGATATTTAAAAATTCTCACCACATGTGGCAAGGTTTATAGAGCCCTGAGTTACAGAATGCCAATTCACAAATGTCAGCCACACCCGGCTTTGGGGTGGCTCCGTGCGTCTTTGGCTGTGAGAACTGTACTCTCTGTACGCTGCTGTATTTGGTGCTGCTGGTGCCTAGGCTTCCTCTCTCTTCTCCCTTCCATTTCTCTTCAAAACCCCTCTCCCACTCTCCGCCACCATAGCACAGAGCCATGCTTCGGGCATAAGGTAATTAAATAGACTTTTGGAATTGACCTAAATACTGAAGCAGCGAGCACAACTAAGGTTTCATGTGAAAAAGTCTCACAATTCCCAAGGAACTGACAAACATACACATTTGAAGATCAACATATTTGGAGATTGAAGACTGCCTGGACAATATTTTTCCATGTGTAGGCCTAGCACAATTTGCTTTTTTTTGTAAATTAGATAAAGAACCTTCACAGCTAAAGACAGTACTCTAGCAAATGCTTAAAGCTATGACCAAGTAGCAAAATCATGAGTCGTGATTCTATTTACTTTTCTATATCCAAAGCTCAATCAAACTAGGAGCAGAAGAAAGCTTTCTCAATCCGATAAAAGTTATCTATTAAAAACTCTACAGATAAATACAATGAAATAGTGAACACATTTCCCCCTAAGTTGAGAACAAGACAGGGATACCCACTCATACCAGCTCTATTCAACCTTGATAGTACAGTAAGTCAAGAACAATAAATGAAAGTTACAAAGTCTAGAAAGGAAGAATTAAAGCTGTCTTTATTTGCAGGTGATAACGGTGTACACAAAACATTCAAATTCAGAGACTCGCATGGTGGAACTTTCTGAGGTGTTTCAAACATTCCATATATTGACCTAGGTGATGGTTACACAGGCATTTACTCATGTGAAAAGTCACTAAGCTTTACACTTAAGATTTGTGAATTTTACTTGGTATAAGTGTACTTCAAAATAAGTTATAATGGTTTAAAATCATTGGCCTGAAAATATAACCACTGATGGTTTCAAAACATGTTTGCAAATTATTTGATGCTCCTCCTTTCAAAACGTGGACTGTAACTCCCTCCCCTTGAATATGGGCTGAACTTAGCGACTCACAGCTAGTGAATAAAGGTGGTGGAAGTGAGGCCATGTGACTTCTGAGACTAGGCCATCAAAAGGATGCAGCTTCCACCTGGCTCTGTCTCTGCCAGGATGACACTCTGTGGGAAGGCAGCCACCATGTCATGAAGACTCTCAAGCAGCCTTGGGGAGATGCACGCTTGATGAGGAACTGAGGCCTCACACCAGCAACCAGCAGCATTGTGCCGGCTGTGTGAGCTCGCCAATGTGCAAGTGGATTCCCTAGCCATTCAAGTCATCAGGCCCCGGCAGTCCTGACTTTTTGACTGTAGCCTCATGAGAGAGCCTGAGCCAGAACCACCCAGGGAAGCTGCTCATAAATCCTTGCCCCACAGAAAACTTTGAGAGGTGATAAATGTTTATGGGTGTTTTAAGCCGGAGAGTTTTGGGGGTAATTTGTTACACAGCCATGGATAATCCTTGTCTTCAGAGTTAGTGATTATGTTTGAATCGGATGCTTCATGACTGGGAATGATTAAAATGTTAAAAGTTCTATATATCTTTTATTCTACTCTGCAAAACAAGCTTCAAGTGCTATGTATAAGGCATTATGTAAATTAAAACATACCAAGTCCTGAAAATGTAAAAAATGCAAGTAATGTTATGTTGTTCGTTTACTAGATGCCCCTTTTCACTTTTGGGCCCCAAAGCCTCTAAATCTGGAGAATGTGGGTGACTTTGGAATAAAATACTAAGAATGCAGCAGCCATAAGAAAGTGACATTCTAAGGAATTTTCCCAGGATAGCGAACCAAGCATGACAACTGAGGCCTCTTTTGCCAAAGTGACAGTGTGAGAAGGAAGAAGGAAAAGCCTCTGAATGGTTGTATTTTGGTCTCATTATACTACTTTGTTCTTCTAAGCTAGATGTCAAGTCCTTATAAATCCTCTTCTGATTTATGCTCTTGAAGCAGTAGGAAGTCAGGTTTGAACTCACCAAATGACAGAGGGTTTGATGAGCACAGCATCCCCATCATTCCAGCTGCCTCCCATGCTGGCCACCGGGCTGAGGGCACCTTCCACTTTAGGAACTGGTCAGAGCTTGTGTTGCTGTTGTTAGAAGACTCAGATCCTCCCCCACCACCAAACTCTCTACATGGAAGAGCACAGCAACCCTTCTCCTTACTTAACTCAGTACAGAAAGACAAGTTAATTCCCAACACAATGCCCAACTTTGTAGCTGGGCACTGCCCTTTCAGATTAGCTTAAAGAAAGTTGCATGGTTGCTTCCAGTTCCATGTGCTGTTCCTCCTCAGTGCTGCTTTCCCACCTTTCCACTTCTGCAATTTCAACAGTAAGTTTGTTAAGTGAGCCCTCTAAAATGCATGGTCATGAATAATTTTAATAGTAAAATGGGGCCGGGCGCAGTGGCTCACGCCTGTAATCCCAGCACTTTGGGAGGCCGAGGAGGGTGGATCACGAGGTCAGGAGATCAAGACCATCCTGGCTAACACGGTGAAACCCTGTCTCTACTAAAAATACAAAAGATTAGCCAGTCGTGGTGGCAGATGCCTGTAGTCCCAGCTACTCGGGACGCTGAGGCAGGAGAACGGCATGAACCCGGGAGCTTGCAGTGAGCCAAGATCGCTCCATTGCACTCCAGCCTGGGTGACAGAGCGAGACTCTCTCTCAAAAAAAAAAAAAAAAAAAAATTGTAAAATTGTTTAAACTATAGGTGCTAGAAATAAGTAAGCACTTGATAATGGATTCGTTGCACTTAAGAATTTCCCCTTAAAAAATCATTAGCATTTCTCTACAACCACTGGTGGCTCTTTTTGTTGTTATTGTTGAGATAGGGTCTTGCTCTGTCACCCAGGCTGGAGTGCAGTGGCACGATCATGGCTCACTGCAGTCTCGACCACCCAGGCTCAAGGGTTCCTCCCACCTCATCCTCCCAAAGTGCTGGGATTACAGGCGCGAGCCACTCTGCCTGGTCCTCTGGTGGTTTTCTAAGGGCATCGATTTTTCCCGAAAAGCAAGGAAGAGTCAATGAACAGGAATAAATACCTGAACAAACAGAGCAGTCCTCTGTGCCTCAGGGAGATGTGATCCCCAACCGTAGCATGTTCTTGGATGCCTTTACACTTACAGTGTGTCCTCATGTGAAGTCATCATGTGAGAAAACACACACCTGAAAGGAAAAATGAGCATGTACAGACTGTAAAATGCAGAACTCACTGGAAACTATTCTTAAGGGGACAAAGTTAAGATTCAACAATAAAACCATTAATTTAAAGGAATACAAAAGCAGAAGGTTTTTATGTCAGGAGAAATAATTGTATAAGTAGGGATCAGAGTGAAAATCAAGAGTAAATAATAATTACAATGATGGTGAAAATGACTTTTTAGCAATCACAAAAAGAACAGAAATCATTATAAAACACTTCCCCCACACCCCAAATTGTTTGAAATCTTCTTGGAATCTGGTGGAAGGTGAGACTATGGAGGTAAGATGAGGGAGTCCTGGGAAGATTTCTTTTCCAAACAAAGGAGCTTTGGAAAACCTAAAAGGAGGCAGAGAACAAAAGTTTGGGGGGATGTGTGTTTGTGTTGCTGTGTGAATAAAGCTGAGTGCCTCAAGGGCTGCTGCAGTTGGAGTCTGACAGCTGACATGGAGGGGAACGAGCTGCGGCCAAGGGCAGAGGAGGTGAGGGTCATGGAGGGCGAGTGGAGGGGAACATGCCACAGAGGTGATGAAAGGCAGCTTTGTCGACAGAAAGCAGGGAAGCCTCATGGGGAGACGGGAGATATGGAACTGTGGGATGTTTAGGGTCACTGGAATCGTTGGCTCAGTGGGGCCAAGGCTGGACGGGGGTGCTGAGGGCCAAGGGTGAAGGCTTCAGCTGGTGACTTCATGGCAGGTGCCTCTTTTATCACCTCCTGGGCCAAGAGCTGGAGGGGTTATCTCAGCACGCCCTGATCCTGCAGTGGGAGACTTATGCGTTTCATTCCTCACTGGCTCAAAGAGATTAGCGTGTTCTTCACTGGGATCTCCATGAGGAGGGTGGGGACAGGCAGGATTTAGAGGAAGCCCGGGGGACCCAGCTTATGGGAATCTACGCATGGAGGCAGAGGGCATCCTTGCTTTTCCCCTCAAGATTAAGTGAAACTGCAGAAAGCCAGAATAGACACCAGCTTCAAGACAGTGTTTACACAGGACACTCCGAACAGTCGAGGCAGAGCCTGGGGCATGGCTCATGGGACCAGGACTTTTTAGGGGCTTAGCATTACCGGGTAGTCCTGCTCATCATGTGCTGCCCCCTCTCGGGCTTTTGATCAGCCAGAGAGTCCACACACTCTGAACAACCACAGAGTGTGTGGTCAAGTCTGAGTGTTCAGTCACATTAAAAGGCCTTACAGTCATAGGGCACAAATCTTTCTACTTTGTATGGCTTTGCCCATGGTGCAAATGACCAGATCTTTATGCCACTTCGAGGGTGCCATTATAGTGGAAGTTGCTTCCAAAAATGCAGTGGTGAATGCCATATGGAGCAAACTGGAGTGAAAAGCACAAGAGTTTTAGTACTAAAATCAGATAACAAATCTGGCCCAGCACTCCTTGAAAGCCTCTTGGGGCAGCTGCTTGAACTCTGAATGTTATCTCCTTAGGATGCTATTGTGGATGCCGATGAGGTTCATCTCTTGCTCCTGGTGTTATGAGTAACACAGTGTGAACGGTCGCATAAGTGAATGTTACCTATTCTTGCTCTAACTCTGGGTTGAGTCCTTGGTCCCATGAAATCCTAGATCCACCCCATCTGGCCCCATAGCAGGGCTTCCTAGAGTCCAGCGTGGCTGAGTTTTTCATGAACTTGGCGGGTGCAGACACACTTCCGGTTCCAGGGAGACCCATCTGCATGTTCCACACTCAATCCCCGATGGGTGAGAGAGTGTTTCTCTGCAGACATGGTGGGGAGGATCGGGCTGAGTGTCTTACTGTAAAAGAAGCTCCGGCAGGGAGTGGTGGCTCACGCCTGTAATCCCAGCACTTTGGGAGGCCAAGGTGGGCGAATCACGAGGTCAGGAGATCGAGACCATCCTGGCTAACACAGTGAAACCCCGTCTCTACTAAAAAAATATATAAAGAATTAGCAGAACGTGGTGGCAGGCGCCTATAGTCCCGGCTACTTGGGAGACTGAGGCAGGAGAAAAGCGTGAACCTGGGAGGCAGAGCTTGCAGTAAGCCAAGATCGCACCACTGCACACCAGCCTGGTCAACAGTCAGACTCCGTCTCAAAAAAAAAAAAAAAAAAAAAAAAAAGAAAGAAAGAAATTCCACTTCACATTAGCTTTCAGAAATTACGAACTGCTTCAGAAGTCTGATTCTAGATTTGCTAGTTTTGAAACTTTGATGAACAAAATCAATGGAAAACCTACCATTTAGAAACTACCCGGTGGCTTCCTCTTTTGTAAGAGATGAAGCCCAAATTAATGGTTGGAGGAAAATTGCTCTTCTGTTTGAGAAAAGGGAGAAAAGACACTTCACTGTGCGTTTTGGTTTTCGAAAGGTGAAGCCAAGATCCTACTCTGAAATAGTTTTTAAGACACCATAGAACCACATGATTTTCTATAATGATGTCAAGGGTGGTCTTCACTGTGGGTAGAACCGCATTTCTCCATTCATTCAAGCATTGTTCATTGAACTAGGCTATATGGAACCCAACCATGTGCCTTACACCCTCCAGGCCTGAGTGTTGCCTGCATGGAGCCTGCAGTCTAGTAAGAGGAACAGACACCAATCCGACCATCACATCACTGCCACCAAGTGCTGTGAAGCCAAGGTGATGTGCAGTGGGGCACTGAGCCTGGTTTTGAAGCCTTCTCTGAATAAGTGACTTTTAAGCCAAAATCCAAAGATGAGTCAAAGTTTATAGACAAAAGGGGGTAGGGTGCTCATTTCGGCAACATGTATACTAAAATTGGAGCAATCCCGGAAAGATTCGCATGGCCCCTGTGCAAGGAGGACTCGTGAAGCGTTTCATATTTCTGCAGAACAATGTGAAGGCATTAAATGGCACTGTACTGTACACTTACAGTGTTTAAACTGGTACAATTTATGTTATGTATGTGATAATATATATCACAATTTTTAAAAAGAGAGAATGGGTGGAGTTGCAAAAGCCCCATTGCAGGCAGAGGGAGCATCAGGTCCAAGTGTTAGTGAACCGAGAGGAAACCCAGCAGCCAGGACTTGTGTGCTGAGATTTGTGGGGTGGCGTGTGGCCCAAGATGAGACTGGAATTGCAGAACCTGGTTATCGGTCTTTGTCTCAAGGCCAGTGAAAGATTACTGAAAAGCTTTTATTAAGGCAGTGACATAATTTGTGTTAAAAAAATATATCCCCCTGGACCAGGGTGAGAGTGGTTGGAGGGGCAGTGAATGTGGCTGACCAGGTAGAAAGCTGTCAGAGTTCTTCAGGAGAGAGATGGCTGTCACTTGGAGTAAGGTGCTGGAGTTGAGATGTAGAAAAGTGGGTAGATTTGAGAAAAGTTGGAGAACAAATGGCTGAACTTGTTGATGGGTTGCTGTGGGGGTGAGAGAAGGGACTCGTTGGGATGGATCTCCATGTTTCTGGGTGGACGGTGCTGCCAGTAACTGGGGCAGGAAGCACAGAGAGAAGGGGTTGGAGGATGGATAAAGGTGCTTGTTTTGGGCATGGTGTTGAGTTTGTGCCTCAGTGAGGTTTGCAGCTGCCAGCGGGGGAAGATCCTGTGCACGGGTCGTTGACTCAGGGCTCACTAAGGCCTGCACTAATTTCTGGTGGAGTCTCTGGTGATTCTACCCGCTTATGTACTGCACTGTTTTCTGAGGCATGTCTGTCACGGGACATGTGAGGACTCAGGACCACTCCCGAGAGAAAACAGATGGAACACCCCATCTGCCACGTGCAGCAGCCGGGCCTGCTCCCAGGGCAGCTGACAAAAATTCTCCCTTCTTCTTCTGAAAGGCTGCTCCCAAAGAAACCACACTGGCCTCATGACAGCATCCTGACTGGACTGTCCGTGGCATGTTGGTATTTTAGGCCTGCCAATTAACCGTGTGTCCAACTCTGGGTCCTGTAGACCCCAGGGTGGGCAGCTCTCAGAGCACTTCTGAAACATCGGCTTACGAGGCAGACACTGTGCTGAGTGATTGAAGCTAAATGTTGCTTCAGTTGCAAGGCTTGACTCTCTGGAACAGCTGCCGTTTCATTTAACAATCTTGGAAAACGAAAACATACTGGCTGGGTGTGATGGCTCACGCCTGTAATCCCAGCACTTTGGGAGGTTGAGGCCGGTGGATCACTGAGGTCAGGAGTTCAAGACTAGCCTGACCAACATGGTGAAGCCCTGTCTCTACTAAATACAAAAAATTAGCCAGGCATGATGGTGCGTGCCTGTAGTCCCAGCTACTTGGGAGCCTGAGGCAGGAGAATTGCATGAACTCGAGAGGCGGAGGTTGCAGTGAGCCGATATTGTGCCATTGCAGTCTAGCCTGGGCAACAAAAGCAAAACTGTGTCTCAAAAAACAAAACAAAACAAAACAAAACAAAAACAAACAAACAAACAAATCATACCCAGTTGAGATCCATCTGAGGCAGAAGTGGCCTTGTATTTGTGAGCTTCTCTCCTCCTCCCTCCCACCAATTCCTCTGCAATCCCTGGGCCTATCCTAGTGCCATTGTGAAGGAACGTCATTCTTTATTCATGCCCTGCTGCTGAAAGATGTATAAAGGCTTCGACTGAACAATCAAATATCAAAAAAACAACATTTAGGACATACCACCCAGACCACTAAGCATGTAATAAATGCCTGCAATTAGTCACACATGCCTCGAGGAGTAAACATGGGCTGGAATGAAGGATGGCTTTTTTATTATGCCAACAGATGAAGTCTTCATACTATGTACAGAAGCATTCAGGCCAAATTCTGGGGTAAGTTCAGAAATTTAACCCTCTAAAAGTGGCTGGTCATAATTGATTCAGAACTGGATAAGAATATGAGTTGAACCATTTTTAGCAATGACTCACTCTCACATTTAAGGGTAAACATGTACTGAAAGAAACTTGTTAATCTGTGAAGGTCAACCAAGATGATCTTGATATGTCCTCAAGGAAACACAACACGATATATGTAAGGTTGCATAGAAACAAATATGATAAGCCTATCTAAGGACAACATTCTGTTTTGAAAATGAAGGTAAGTCGTGCATGCAGAGTATTGGAAAAGGGCTCCAAAGTGAGAATGTGTGGTGTTCTGCAATGCTCCAATTCCACACTCACCAAGCACCATTCTCTTATACATTTGCTCTGCTTGTTGGCTTTGCTGCAGATGGAAGAAGGCATTAACAGGCTGGTACAAGGATTCTGAATTGCCTAATCAAAATATTCCTGACTATAAATTGCTACATTGTAATTTAGATTTATACAAACTCCTTAGGTTAGTGCTGGTCAGGTAGGTATTCTCCAAACTGCTTGGATCTTTCCCATGAGCCCACAGCCTATGGGGTGGCAGGAAGCGTCACACTTGCCAATTAACAGCATTTTACTTTAAATAGAACATTCTGAATTTGAGCATTTGTTCTATTTAGAGCTCCGTTTCGTATCAGGGCTGGCTTAAATACTCTCTTACATATGGCTCTTAGACGAAAGCTGTCTTTGGGATGGCAGGATCCTATTTTTCTCTTTCTGGACATGGTGTCCCAGAGTATAAGGCTTGTTGGATCATAAAGAATCTGACTAGCCATTGTCCTTATTTCCTGGGAGGCAGACTTTAAATCCCTGGAATTTCCTGAGTCATTTGACTGTCTTAGTTTACCTAACAAGATGACTCAGAATGCGGCTGGTCATCATAAAGACCAGACATGTGATTACAGGGTTGGGGCTTTAAGCCAGCCTGGCCCCCAAGGAGGGGAGGAGAGCTGAAGGCTGAGGTCACACACATGGCCAATGTTTCAATGATACCTTCACAGAGAAACTCCGATAAAACCTGGACATTGAAGCTCAGTGGCACTTTGTGGTTTGTGAACACATTGATGTATTGGAGGGTGATGCGCCTCCAATATAATAAACCTCCTGCACCTTCCTTTATAATAAAACTGCTATTCCTAAGCATAGTGCTTTCCTGAATTCTGTCAGTCATTCCAGTAAATTACTAAAACTGAGGGGAGTTATGGGAACCTCCTGATCTTACAACATTTGGTCGGAAGTGTGGGTGGCATGGGGATCCCAAAACTTGTGGCTGGCATCTGAAATAAGAGCAATCTTGTTGGGTATCCTGCCCTTTAATCTGTGGAGTCTGCTGCTAACTCTGGGTGATTAAAATCAAAATTGCAGGTGATAGCAGTCCAGAAAGGTTACACTCCCGGCAGGGGAAGAGGCATCAGTGGCCTGCTCAGAGGTCCTGTGGTCTTGGACGTGTGTGCCGTATTTCACAATAAACGGATGAGAGGGGAATGTGTGACACACATCCCTCACGTGAGATTTGTCTCGCTTAACTTCATTTCATACCATGTCTTTTGTCTCTAGAGGCGTGTTTTGAGAAAGACTCATAAATGTATACACCAGAATTTTCATTTATTGTTCTATCATTGAAACGCCTTGTAACTTTTCTAAATAGTTAAAAAGTCAGAATTTCTCAGGTCTGAAAATCCTATTTGCAACCATTGGTTCCTGTGCATCCAGTATGTGGCCTGCTATCCAGGATGATGCTGAGCCAAGTGATGCCAGTGCCCTTCTTTGAAAAATTAATCCCAGGATCAATCCTTAAAAGGGACAAGGGACAGATTCATGAACACAGAAGTGCTGCTGTCTCAAGAAACCAATTTCTCTCAACTTTTCATTCAGAGGAGGCAGAGTTGGGGATCAGCCGTCCCCATTTCTACTCCTCTCAGCCTGCTCCACAAAACTGTCAGCTCAGGCTCTGCTAAAGGCCCTTCTGCTCCACCCCTGGGATAGCTGTTCTCCTTGGGGGCCTCTGACAGCAGCTTTCACCTCCCACCTCAGCACCAGTGCAGGTTCCACAACCCTGGCTGCAGGTTAGAATCATCAGGGAGGTTAAATAAAATGCCCATGCTGTCTCCACCGTCAGAAATTCTTGCCTCTCAGGCTAGGTGATTCTCCTGGGCTCTGCTGGGTGTGGACTTGCAGAGCACAGTGTCTTGCATTTGCCTGCAACCTGCTAGTTTGATTAACATCTCCAGGAAAGGTGGCTCCATGGCTGTGTCTCCAGATGCATTCTTGGGCCAGGCACCTTATGTCTCACTCTTTACTTTTACAACTAGAAGAAGAGTTGTCATTTTGAAACACTTCATTTAGTTTTGCAGTTCTAATTAAACGTCTCCAGGTTAGTATTCTTGAAGCAAATAAGTATCTCATTTAATGAGAACTTATACAGTGCTAAAGGTTTGACGTGCATTTTCTTTTTTTTAGTCTTTTTATTGTGAAATATGGCACACACATAACAGAAATAGTTTACAAAGCAAAAATATACAATTGAGTGAATTATCAAAAGCAAATATTGGTATGCCATCACTTACATTAAAAAAGAAACACAATACGGCTAGCATCCCAGAAATCATGTCCATTCCCCTTCCTTGCCACTAGCCCCTCTTTCCTCATGAAAGGTAGGTAATCACTTCCCTGACATTTAAGGTAATCACTTCCCTGTTGCTTTGCATTGCCAATCACCAAATATGCATCTCCAAAGTTGAATTTTGTCTTGCATTTTGTGAATTTCAAATATATGGGACGTATGTGTTGTGTTCAGCTTTTTCTGCTCAATATTTGGAATTCATCCATCTTGCTGCATAGAGCCGTGATCCATTCATCTTCATTGCTATTTAACATTCCGCTGCATGACAAACGATCCACCTCTCCACTCTATTGCTGAATAACATCTGAGCCAGTTCCAGATTATGGTTATTGTAACTCATGGTAACAGTGCTGCTCTGAACACTCTTGCACATGCCTCCTGATGCCCACAGGAACTGCTGGGCCATAGGCCATGTGCAGCATCCTCCACTCCAGTAGACAAAGCTGAGCCATTTTCCAAAGTGGCTGCGCCAGTTCACAGTCCCATGCTTCATACTCTCTCCAACATGGGATGTTGCCAGTTGTCCTCACATTAGCTGTCCTGTGGGTGTATATGGCAGCTCTCTGTGTCTTGCCTGGCATTTTCCATTGTCAATGAGGTTGAACACTCCTGTGTTCCATGGCCACCTGAGTATGCTCCTCTGAAAAGTGTGCATTTGGTTCCTTTGTTCATTCTTCCACTGGGTTATCTGCTCCTGCTTTATGACCCTCAGGACATTCTGGATGCCAGCCTTCTCTGATATATAAAACATCCCCGTCACTGTGAGGCCTGACTCCTCATTCTCCCAATGACATCTCCGCATGAACCAAGGCTCTGATTTTACAGTAGATCAGGTAGATCTTCTTATGCCATCCTCCCCAAATGCCTGTGAAGTAGAATTATTGCCCCATCCTGAAGGTGTGGAAACTGATGTTTAACGCTTACAGAAGTTAGATAATGTGCTAATAAGTGGCAGCACTGAGATTAGCTCCCAGATCTGCCTGACGCCAAAGCCCAAGCACTGAATTCCCAGGCTCTATGAATAACAATTGACTATTTGTATTTGAGTCTTGGTCACAGTCCCAGCAAGCAACCAGTGAAAGCCAGATTTGTAGATTTCTGTTTCTTTCTTAGCCACTCTCCCACCCACTGCTCCACAATGGATAGATGCACATAAACTGTTGACTGCTAATTACTACATATTTGCTTAAAAATTGGAACTCAGTCCTGGGAAAAGTCTTGGAAGAGAAATGTTATCAGGCCATACTTGGTAAAAAGTTAGCTCTTTAATCTCTTTTATTTATTTTAGCACCCAAACTCAATCTCTTGGCCTGGTTCTCCCATGCATGATTTGACAGGGGAAAGAAGAAACATGGGAATTAAAGTGACCTCTCTGGGTCCCCAGATACCCACTCAGCATCACAGGTAGAGGCGCACAAGGAACCTGGCAGGAACCCTGTCCTGCGCTGCACTTGGAAGCATTTTGCTGTCCCGCACATGGCTGAGTAGGCAGTAGAAGCAAAGAGTGATGTTCACCAATAGTGTGTCATCCTTGTGTACAATGCGGGACAGTGGAAAATAGAGAGATGGAAAAAGAATCCAGGCAAATGCCAAACAGAGGAAAGCCACAGTAGAAATATTAATATCAGAATAACAAGAAACATTCCCCAGCCTGCCTGCCCGCCACATTGCTCAGTCTTTGGTGCTCACCCAGTGGGAGAGTTCTTGCATTCTAATATATTGTCCAATGGTCTTTCAAGAAAGGGCTTAAGGATAAAGGAGGGCAACGTGCCCTCCTGACTTGGCCACTTTTCTAGTGCTAGGCCATGAGAAGGTTCAGTTTTGATTTGACCTTGAGGCATCACTATGGGCTCAAGTACAAGGAGGCCTCCCTGGACACCTGTGCCTGGAAATGGACGTGACTCTTAAGGAGACAGTTCCATATTTAGTGCACAGGGGGCGATGCTCTGGGGCATCAAGTAGGTGTCTGAAGAGGTAAGAATTTTCTCCCTGGGAAGAACCGTTCCATATTTTGGTATGGGGGTGGGGGTGGGGGTGGGGGTGGGGGGGATGCAGCCCAGCCAAAACCAAACAAACGCTGTTTAAAATAAGGATCCCTTGCCAGAAGTTCACAGGCAGGGTGTCTTGTGTTTAAGACCACCGCCACGGAGGGGTCCTTCTGAACTGCAATTCGAGTGCCAACGGCCCCCTCTCTTGCCCACTTGCCTCTTCCTCCCCCAGGAGGAAGGGCGTGTGGGGTCGGGGATGCCAAACACCTCTATTTACTCTTGTTACTCCAGGGCGCACCATTCCAATAAAAAACAACATTCTGAGGCTGAAAAAACAAAAGTGCCCTGAACGCCAGCCCTAAGTAAACATCAGGGGAGAAGAGCAGCTCCGCAGGAAGGCCCCATCCCGGCACTGGGACTGCAGCCCATCCACGAAGAACTCCAGCAGGGCTAAGAGGACAGTGTGGAGGCCAGACACACCCGAGTGCAAACAGAATGCAGAAGAGCTTGCATTCCAGTCAGGAAGACAACAGTCCTCAGACGGGGCAAGGATGGAAAGAGGACACTCTAGACGTTAATGCTAAAATGTTAATAGCTAACATTTATTGCAGACTGTTTGTTTCCGGTGCTCTTCAAGCACTTTGCATTCGTAATGTTCACAACAGCTCTATGAGGTAGGTGCTTTAGGAAGGAGGGAATGGAGGCTCCGAGAGGTTAAGCTACTTGTCTGAGGTCTCCAGCTCGAGGCACTGCCTGGCACTCTCACCCGGAAGCCTGCGGGCTGGCCGGCCCCAGAGCCCGCCTCCTGCTCTGCACACTGACCACACTGGGCCTTCGGAGAGTCCTGATGCAGATTAGCATGCTAGTGACTCTGAGAAGTCCAGCAGAAAATATTTAAAAATGAAGTTGTTTCTATTCTGTACTCCAGAGTTCGTCCATTTAGTTGATGAGTCATGCTTTCTTTTAAGTGGGGTGATCAGACTTCAGGACACAGAAGCAGGTGAGCCCGGGCCGCCGCAGGCTCTCTGCGCAGGCGCCTGGGAGAAGCGTCTCTTCCTGGCTCGGGGCGGGGTGTCTCTCTGCGCCCGGCTCCGCTCAAGTGTCCCGACTGGGATCAGTCGCTAAGGCCGATGGCAGGGCAGGAAAGATCACTAGATGCAGGCAGGGTCCGGGGGCAGAGGCCCCTGTACTGGGGCCAGTCTCAGTGAATGACTTTTCCCCCGGTATCCAGGAGTTTTAAATTACAAGAGATAGACAACTACAATGATTTAAGAAAAGAAAATTAAAAGATTTAAGAGATAAAGTTGGCTCCAAATCGCTTGGGTCCAGGGACTAAAACTCTGTGTGTCTCTCTTTCATCTCTCTCTCTCTCCCTGAGCTTTGCCTTCCTGTGCTGGCTTCATTCCTGGGTAACACTCTCCCGGGGTGACTGGCAGCAGCTCCAGGCTCCATCATCTTTACTGCCGACCCAGCAATCTCCTTTCCTGTAGCTCCAGCCCAAGCCTGGGCCCTGGCTCTTCCTGGACTCAATTGGGTCAGGGGACCATCCCTGAGCCAATCGCTGGCACTGGGAGGCTGTGGCATTTCAATTGGCCAGGCTTGTATCAAGCACCTAGGGGTGGAGTTGCCCTGTCCTCACCGCAGGGAAGGTGAGTTGAGATGGGTGTCGTCCTCTTCTCTAACCGTTACAGTCTGTTGTAAGGGAAAGGGCGGACTAGACACTGGTCAGGCACAACCTACAGTGTCCACAGTGCGGGGACAGGGAGAGGTGGTTGTGTGCTAGGAGCTGTCCATTCTGTGGCTCGCCTTCCGACACAGCAGTTCTACTTTTAGACTTTATCCAAAACAGACAATTGGATAAGCATGTGTGTATGTATACACACACTGAAAAACCAGAAAGTTGGCCGGGCGCGATGGCTCACGCCTGTAATCCCAGCACCTTGGGAGGCCGAGGCGGGCGGAGCAGGAGGTCAGGAGATGCAGACCATCCCGGCTAACACAGTGAAACCGTCTCTACTAAAAATACGAAAAATTAGCCGGGCGCCTGTAGTCCCAGCTACTCGGGAGGCTGAGGCAGGAGAATGGCGTGAACCCGGAGGCGGAGCTTGCAGTGAGGCGAGATCGCTCCACTACACTCCAGCCTGGGCGACAGAGCGACACTCCGTATCAAAAAGAAAAAAAAAAGACATATTCTAACAGGGCACACACAACCTTTCTATGTTATCATGTCTGCAATAACATTTTCAAGGAATTCTTTGTAAATTCTAGTAAAGTAGAATATGCTTAAGTTTTGTTAAACTCTGAAATTTTATTAAAGTTTTATTAAAAACGAATTAAGGCCGGGCGCGGTGGCTCACACCTGTAATCCCAGCACTTTGGGAGGCCGAGACAGGCGGATCACGAGGTCAGGAGATCGAGACCATCCTGGCTAACACGGTGAAACCCCGTCTCTACTAAAAACACAAAAATATTAGCCGGGCGTGGTGTTGGGCACCTGTAGTCCCAGCTACTCGGGAGGCTGAGGCAGGAGAATGGCGTGAACCCGGGAGGCGGAGCTTGCAGTGAGCCGAGATCGCGCCACTGCACTCTGGCCTGGGCACAGAGTGAGACTCCGTCTCAAAAAAAAAAAAAATTGTTCAAATAAATCATTCACATCTAAATATTATGCAGCCAACAAAAAATTATGTAGATCTATATTTATCAGTTTTAAGATGTCCGCAATATATTACTGAATGGAAAAACAGTAAGGCCTCAGTTTTAAAAAATTATTTATCTTTTTGAGTAGGTATGACTAGAGAGATGTTAGATAGTTTTCAAAATATTAGGAGTGTTTATTGCTGGGTGGTGGCAATGTGGGTTATTTTTACATTCTTTCCTTTTCTGAACTTTTACCACAAACATATTTTTATAATCAGAAAAAGTCAATTTGTTTATTATTTTCAAAGAAAACTCATTATTTTCTAAGCTAATGGGAGAGTCTCAGTGTGAGAGAATCCTATCTTCTTCCCTTAGAATCTGCATGTTTTCAAGGAAAATGTTACAATTGCCCTGGAGCTCCTTCCCCTGCTGTTGCTGCTGCTGCCGCTATTGTTGTGATCCTCCTGGGAAGCCTGGCTTTGTGCCTTGTTTGCACTTTAGCACTGCTTCAGTTCTCATGGAGTCTGGGGGAGGTGGCTTAGTGTTGCAAATAATCCTCTGATTTGCCAAACTGTCTTTGGGTGCTGCCCATCTCGTCCGCATGCCTAGGACAGTAAATCTTTTCTAACCAGTATCTCTCTCCCTTTCCCTCTCCCTCACCCCATCTGTAACGTCTCCCATAGCAAAGCCTCCAAGTGCCATTGTGTCTCCTGGGCTGGGCAAGCGCATTTCATCTCCTCTGCACCAAAAACAGCCTGAGGACTTGTGAACTGGTCTGGAAGTCGAGAGCTCTTTTTTGATTTCATCATTAAATTGCTTTGCAAAAAGGGACACTTTCTGGTTTAATTTCTTCTGTCACTAATACTGAATCATGTGTAGCTGTCCAAAAGAAAAAAGGATCTGTTGTTGCTATTCCTTGTCAAACATAAAGTTATGGTTTAAATTCAGTGAAGTTTTTTGAGCAGCTGAGGTCACCTCTTAGTTGGTAGAATAATTTTGCCATTTTTCAACCTGTGTTTCACACAAGGTTATTAAAGGAAAAGTGCTAACAACTTTGAAATGAGAAGCTGGAAGTTTAAACGTGTTTGTCTTGAGTCATAGCATAAGGCACAGTTGCAATGCTTTGCTCTCTGTGTCTTATCACTTAGACCACATTCTTATTTTTGTACTTCCACTCACCTTGACCAGAGTAGAGGATCACATAAAGGGTATATTTTCCAAATAAAGCTGTTTGGATCATCATAGTTTTAACAAAGACAATCCCTAACATCTGTAGAGTGCATTCTCCACACTGCTGCCAGGGTTGTTTGACTAAGTCCCTAAGACAAGTTCTTAGCACGTTACTTGGTTGCTTTAAAAACCTTTGATGAGCCTCCATTGCCTACGTGATAAAGTCCAAACTCCTTAGCTCAGCATTCAAGGGCCTTCCCCATTTAACCCCAACCTTGCCTCCCTCCACCCCCTACAGGGACAGCACAGAGGCCACTTCCTGGCTTTACACAGCTGGTTCTTGTGTCCGGGATGTCCTTTGACTCTACCTCAAGGCTTGATCTCACCCTCTCTGGGAGACTTCCATGCTTCCCCCCAGAGAACCACTGTGCTCTTCTGAAAAACTTAACCAAGCAGACACAGTTTATATCATGTTGTCTTCTCCACTAGATTCTGCACCCTCTGGGGAATCAGTTTCCAAGTCTGGCTAAGCATCTCGTCTCCTGGGCAGCGTGATAAAAATACCATCCCTGAGCCCCACACCAGATCAACAGAACTAGAACCTCTGGGGGCAGAGCCCAGGAATCTGTGAATTTAAAGCAGTTTTCCTGGTGATTCTGACTGGCAAGCAGGCCTTGTAACCACTGCCCAGGATGAGCGTGCATTTTCCATGGGCCCAGCCAGGTGACAGCTAGGAGGGAGCAGAGAGAGAAGGAGGAGGCTGAGAGCTCAGGTGCACTGAGGGCCCGCCTTGTGCCAGGTTCTGCTCTGGGAGCTTTGATACCTGCTCATTCGATTTCAACCACCTCCAGATGAGGAAACTCAAGCTCAGGGGGTTTGTCTGAGGTCCCCACTAGTACATAGTGGAAATGTTAACAAAACCGGCTCTGCTTATCTCTTTGGACTCACATTCTTCTTTCTTAGCCCATGTTAAATAAATGCTAGGTAAAATACATGAATATCTGTGTTTGTGGATGCACTGTGCCTCACTCCCCTGCATTCAGTCAACCTGCAAGATCTATCCATTCGGTTTGCTCACGTCCATTCTCTGTCATGGAGACCTGGGAAACAACCTCCTAATCCATCTCCCACCATCTCCTACCATCTCCCCTCAAATTCATTCTCTCAGCTGTGGTGGAGTGATCATTTAAACTTGCAAATCTGCCAAAGCTACTCTGCTTATGGTACATTTTACTACATATAAGCTTTTCATTTTTATATAAATAAATATGTCTATTTCTGCCTTGATAGCTTTAAGCTTTTCAAACTTAATAATGAGTATTTAAGCAGGCCTTCCCAGCCCTCTAGATTTCTAATGTAAATGACAAGCCAGGGGTTACATTTTATAATATATTAAGAGTTTGTACACATTGACATGAAAGACACATCTTAGAAAAATGGGCAATAAAGTAGGCATAAGCGATTCACAGATGAGAAGATTCACCTAATCCACAACCAAATGAAGGGACTCCAATTACTGATGTCACTCAACACCCCTCAGACTACAGAAAATTTAAGCTAGCTATGACACTTAATGCTCTCAGCAACGTGGGGAGAGCATACTCTCGTAAACTGTCTGTTCAAATGGGAATTTCTCCAGCCTTTCTGGAAAGCCCATGTTAAAAGTAAAAATCGCAAATACCATTTTCTAATTTTCCATTCCCGGGAATATATTTTCTAGTATGAAACCCCTGGGATAAAGGACCTCCAGACAAGAGTATTTACTGCTGCATTGTTCAAATGCAAAACCTGGAAATTATGTGACTGTCTATGTCTAAAAGAATTGTTAACTTTATTACGGAACATCCACATCATGGGATAATATGGCCCCATTAAAAATGTGAATTGGAATTAAATTGACCTGGGAGCATTTGTATGAGGTATGGTTGAGTGAGGAACACAATATACACAGAAGAATATGATCCTTTGTAAGATTTTACCCCATGAACACATCCACACAAAGCCTTTTAGATATACAGTGGGTGTGAGTGTGTGTGAGTGTGTATGTGTGTGTTTGTACATGTAGAAAACTAGGTGAGGTTGTTACTGAGACATGAGAGTCACTGACAGTTGAGAGTAGAGGAAAAAGGGAGGGAGTAAGTACCAACCACAGACACGAAGGAGAAAAGGTTAGCAAAAAATTGTAATGAACCCTATCGGCGTGCATGATACGATCATATTTGTGCACCTACACGAAGTTACATGCACACGTATATGTGTGTTTGAAAAAATTAACAATGCACATCTAATCAGCTCATTCCTCCACCTGAAACCTGTCAATGGCCTGCTGTTACCCTGTGGTTAGATCCAGAGTTTCTTGTCTGGCTGCGGAGGCCCCTGCACCCCTCCCCCTCCTATGGAGTAGTCCCCTCCCCAGTCTCTGGGCTACAGACACATCTCCCCAGGGACCTCGGGTCCCCACCCCCTATCTCCTGCTCCTCTTTGGTTCTTCACACTTGCTTTTGTCCTCTGCCCAAGACATCCTCCCTGATGCATTTTCCTGGATGATTCTTACTTGTTTGTATTTCTTTCTTTATTCTATATATGTAGGGTGTACACCATGGTGTTCTGATGTACACATGCATAATGAAATGATTAATACCACCTAGACCTCAGCTTAAGCATCCATTTCTCAGGGAGCTTTCCCTTTTCCTTGACCCCCAGATGTGGTTAGCCTTCCTGATGTTCATTCCCATGGCCCTCTGCCCTTGCCAAAGTTCTATTTCTTTTTTTTTTTTTTTTCAGATGGAGTCCCGCTCTGTCGCCCAAGCTGGAGTGCAGTGGCATGTTCTTGGCTCACTGCAAGCTCCGCCTCCCGGGTTTACTTACGCTATTCTCCTGCCTCAGCCTTCCGAGTAGCTGGGACTACAGGCACCCGCCACGACGCCTGGCTAATTTTTTGTATTTTTAGTAGACACAGGGTTTCACCGTGTTAGCCAGGATGGTCTGGATCTCCTGACCTCCTGATCTGCCAGCCTCGGCCTCCCAAAATGCTGGGATTACAGGCATGAGCCACCGCGCCCTGACAGGTCTATTTCTTTATTAGTCTCCACCGTTTCTGAACTTTGTGCAGATTTTCCCAGCTGTAGTTTGCGGCTAATTTGTTGCATCTGAATTGAGTAAGAGCCCATGGCAGGGACCAGTAGGGCACCCTGGATCTCATCACGGTGGGCAGGGTAGAACACTTCTCCAACCCTTCTTGCCACCCGTGGCTCTGTCAGCTGAAATGAGGTCGTTTATTTCCTGTGGGAGCAGAAGGAAGCAGTTATGCCAGCGCATCTCAACTGCGAGGGCTGGGAACCTGTCCAGCACCGTTTCAAACTATGCCCCCACTGCACCCTCTGTGTCTCTCTGGCCGTCTGTGCTTCTTGGCCCCCCAGAGCTCCCCGTTTACATCCCTCTGCTGTAGCCTTGCAGGGAGGAACCCGGGCAGTGGAAGCCCCATCATTACTGCCCCCATAGAAGGCCACCTGCCCTGTGATCGTGTTTGGGGCCTGAGAGGAGGCTAACGTGAGGGTGACTTAAAATTCCAGAACGTGTCTGGACACCTGCTGCGCCACCAGAGAACTAACTCAACAAGTGTGAAGGGCGTCCACATGGGGGACTTGACGTTGAGGGCGCGGCAACCAAGTTTATCCGCATGCTCTCATTGCAGTTTTCTAATTAAACCCGTTTATGAAGAAAAAGCAACACATTTACAGGAAGAAATAAATTGAGTTCCTTTTCAAGCCATATTGTTAAATTCTTTTTATAATAATAGCTTTATTTCTGCAAGCAGTTACATTTCTGTGTTCACAAAAAGCGGGGAAAGAAGGACAAGATTTTATGACTCTTTTTCCAGGACACCTGGCAAAGCCAAATTTTCATCAAGGTCATTGCCCTCGGTAAGCTTAGAGAAAACACTTCAAATGTCTCAAGACTTGAAACATTTCAAAATGACAAGGAAATGTGGAAATATACTAGGCTACATGGGTCTGTGAGACCTGGAGAGTGCTAATTCCAAGAGCTCTTTTATTAAATAGCCCAAGCGTCCTATCCCACTTGCGGTCATCCTGTCCTCTGTGCGGAGGGGATTGAGCAGGATAATAACTCCCATTAGCACTGGGGGAGGTTTCACATGTAAATCCCCTAGCAAATGGAAGCACAAATAGAGAGCGTCCTGTTTAGTAAATCAGCACAACTTGAGTGTTAGTTTTTTTCCCCTAGAAAAGTGGTCGCTTGCTATCTTTGAAGTCGGTGAGGCAGGCAGAGCTCAGTCCGCGGTGTGTGCCGGCTTTTCCTTCTCAACAGGGTTGTCCAGCATCCTCAGCCTCCTCTCCAGCCTCTGCCTCCATTCTTCTCTGAGTCTGCGGAGGGGAAACCGTGCACATGCTCAGTGCATTTGTCTCCAGCTGTGCTGGTCGACTGAACCGTGGCTTTGTTTTTCTTCTCCAAGATATTTTTAAAAGAAACCCATTGTGTGTTCCCCTCCCTGTGTCCATGTGTTCTCATTGTTCAACTCCCACTTATGAGTGAGAACATGTGGTGTTTGGTTTTCTTTTCCTATGTTAAGGGGAGGGAGAGCATTAGGACAAATACCTAATGCATGCGGGGCTTAAAACCTAGATGACGGGTTGATAGGTGCAGCAAACCACCATGACACATGTATTCCTATACATTCTGCACATGTATCCTGGAACTTAAAGTAAAGTAATAATTTTAAAAACCCAATGCTGCTAGGCATGGCGGCTCACGCATGTAATCCCAGCACTTTGGGAGGCCGAGGCGGGCGGATCGCGCACGAGGTCAGGAGATCGAGACCATCCTGGCTAACACGGCGACACCCCGTCTCTACTAACAATACAAAAACACAATTAGCTGGGCGTGGTGGCGGTGCCTGCAGTTCCAGCTACTGGGGAGGCTGAGATGGGAGAATGGCGTGAACCTGGGAGGTGGAGCTTGCAGTGAGCTGAGATCGTGCCACTGCACTCCAGCCTGGGCGACAGAGCAAGACTCCGTCTCAAAAACAACAACAACAAACCAATGCTTTTTACAAATGAATAAAGAAAAAAATGAATAGTCACAAGGGCATAGTCTATGGATAGATGGCTTTATCCCAAATGTAATCCTTCCCAAATTGATAGGTGGATTCCATGTAATGCCAATCAAAATCCCAGCAAGAATTTTCTGTAGCTATCAAGAAGATGATTCCAACTTCTATATGGAAAGGCAAAAGTAGATTAGCCTTAAGAAGTTTGAAGAACACTGTTGAAGGACTCACACTACCTGATTTGAAGCTTAACATAAAGTTACCATCATCAAGGCAGTGAACAAACAAATAGATTATTAGCACAGAATATAATAGAAAGTCCAGAAATAAATACGCAGTAATGTGGCCAGTTGATTTTTCACAAGGGGTTAAGGCTACTCAATGGAGGATGGATAGGCTTTTTAACAAATGGTGCTGGAACATTATGTATCTATATTCAAACAATGGGCTTGGAATCTGCTACAGTCTGAACGTGTGTGTTTCCCCTCAAATTCATATATCTAATTCCTAACTTCCAAGGGGATGGTATTAAACTCTGCTCGATTATGGGCCCGGGAAAGAATGGGAAGATTCTGGAGTCCTGCTCTGAGGTCCTGGGTTTAGATAATATGCACATATTACAGGAAAATCAGAATAAACAGAAAAGAATTTTAAAAATTGATTCACTTTCATCTTTCATTCTTATAAATAACGCCACAACGAGTATAATACTTAATACTCTTTCTACATCCCAGTCTATTTTCCTCGGAGTGGCTCCCAGAGGTGAAATATTACCACTTAGAAGGTATAAATATTTTGAAGGCTGTAGGCACCTATTACCAGATTGGCTTCAGGAAAACTTCTTACTTACAACTCTGCTTAATTATGGGCCCAGGAAAGAATGGAAAGAATCTGGCACACGGGCCTGTTGCTGGGTGGTGCCTGTTGCATAAACACATGAGCAAGCAGGGCCTGAAAGTTGAAATACTGTTAGAGAATGAGGCACATGGGGCAGTACCGTCAAGACATTCATTCTGGGAGGCCAAGGCGGGCAGATCACCAGGTCAGAAGATCGAGACCATCCTGGCTAACATGGTGAAACCCCACCTCTACTAAAAACAAAAAAAAATAAATTAGCTGGGCATGGTGGCGGGCGCCTGTAATCCCAGCTACCCGGGAGGCTGAGGCAGGAGAATCGCTTGAACTTGGGAGGCGGAGGTTGCAGTGAGCCGAGATCGCACCACTGCACTCCAGCTTGGGCGACAGACGGAGACACCGTCTCAAAAATTAAAAAAAGTGATGATTTATTGAGCTTATATGACCTTCTACTTTGATATCCACAGATTAGTAATTTTCATAATTATATTTCTGTATCATGGTTATTAAGTATTTATCCCATATTTTAATTTGTAATCCACCTCTCCAACCTGGAGAATACCCAGGTTCACAAGCTTTTTTTGTTACACATCTCTGAAAGCCTCTGTAAATAAATCTGCCACCAAATACATGACTTTTGTCACCTAGGATCTTTTAAAGCTCACTAATAAGGGCTGCTGCCTGGGTGTTTCATTGAACTTGATGCACTTAACCTAATGTGGATTCATTCATTAACAAAAGGGACTGTAACTTTTACTGGGTGTGGTGGCCATGAAAATGCGCCACTCAGATGTAAGGAGCAAAGTTGACTGGTGGCTGCAGCTTCTTTCCCTTTGTATTTGCCTCAGATCAATGCCAAGGCCAAACTTCTTGCAGGCTGCTCTAAGACAGTGACTGGGCATGGCCGTGGTATTAATGCAGGCCCGTCCCAGCAAACTGCAGAACTTCTTTAACAGGTGGCTTTGGCTCACTGACTCCCCATTACTCTGGCCAAAACTTATCAGGGCTGCCCTGCTGTCTTCCCAATCCTAACTCCTTCTTTTTCTCCTTCATGGAGGTCAGACCCGCATCACAGTCTGATGACTTTCCTTCATTTCTCTGGCTTCGTGGTGTGCTGACGCTGGCTCATAACAGTTCATGACAACCAATTATTAACTTTTCAGGAATTTTATAAGCTAATTTTTAAATGTAGACATTATTAAAAGTAAATTATATAAACTTATAATTAAGTTATTTTAAAACAAGGACACTGACTATGCAAAATTCATTACTTCCTAATTATTTTACTACATTTTACAATGTATGCTCTTCAGATTACTTAGGTCTATTTCACCTGTTATGGTGAAAGTACTACATGATGAGGTGTTACTACCAAACACCTCTTCTGAACTTGTCTTCATTGACATCTCATTGGTAGCTTGAAATAGACTGTGGTGGGAATATTTACATCATGGAAGTTGGCAAACACTATAAATCATACATGACTTGATGTATCATTTTGTTCATTGTCTCAACTAAGGTTTGGCCCTAAGGCCAAATCTGGCCAGCTACCCATTTTGTAAATAAGGTTTTATTGAAATATAGCCCTGCCCACTTGTTTGTGTATTTTATTTACATATGGCTATGGCTGCTTTCACACTACAGTGGCACAGCTGAAGAGCTGCAATGCAGATCATATGACCTAAAAAGCCAAAAATATTTACTGACTGGTTCCTTTTATGACCCTTGGTCTCGACTTAAAAAAATGATGGACAAAATGTTAACATGGATTAAATTTAGAAGTGTGTCATGTCTGTAGCTAATACATTATAAATAGCAAAAAAAATTGAGGAAATATTCTTTCAGTACTAGAAAACTATTATCTTCAACGACATGACTTCTTTTCTGAATTGGATAGTAATCAAATGTTTACTTGTTCTATGATTTTTACAAATTATGGTTGAATTGCAACCACCAGTTGGCCCAGATACAAGAGGTTGGCAAAAATGAATAAAATCACATTTCATTATTATTCTCTGTGAGAATCAGGTGACTATATGGGATTTATAATGGGCATTGTGCATTTTCTTATTATTTATAAATTGTGTGCTACACAGCTTTCATATCAGTCAGACTTGTAAACATATGTATGTATATACACAATACATTTTTCCTCCAGAGAGCCAGGTAAACATTCATCAGCACACCAGTTTCCTTCCAATTTTTCATTCACAGGTGCTTCCTCCAAAAAATCTCATACACATCTACTCTCCTCTTGCCCTCTGCTTCTTAGAGGACCTGAGTTAACACATTTGGTATGATGCATTCATTCTAGGAAAAAAAATAGGAATCTGGGGTTCATAATATATTAATTCACTTTTCACAGCAGTTATACACTATTGCTAAATGGTAAGGAATTCAGGCCTCCATCTATCCAAATGTCTTTTAAATCTTGTTTTATGAATATTCAGACACTTTGCTGCTCCTTTTTGGTTGATATCTTTCATTACTGTGTTGCTTCTGTTTATTTTGGGGTTCTCAGTAAACCGGTGAATAAAAATTTATATGTAGGGCTTTCCTTTTGAAGTAGGGAAGGTCCATAGGAGGAAGATAATGCTTAAAACTTGACTTACAAATTCAGATACATCAGAAGAGCCATACAACTGGCATTAAAGCTCAGAGAGAACATTTTTACCTTCAGCCTAGAAATATTGGCCTCACTTTTCAAATTGAGACCAAGTAATGTTTACTATTTCTTGTTCTAGATTCTTCTGATTTGTGGAGGAGTTGTTAATTCCTAGGAGCACAGTTTCTCCTTGATAAGTCCGGGGCTTACCTAGAAAGCAGGATGATATTTGTGAGACTCTTAAGTCATAATCATAATGTTATTCCTGGAGTGGGTGAGGACAACTGGATCTATAATTATATTTTTCCTATCTTATGCTAGGCACTAAACATATGTGTCAGTTTGGGTCCTCCAAGAAGCAGATTTGTGGGAAACACCTGCGAAAAGTAAAGAAGGGAGGAAACTGAAGCAGTCAAGAATAGCCTTTAGACTTCAGCGCTGGTCTGACATCTGTGAAAAGAGAGGGGGGAAGTAACGATTGAGTAGGAAGAACCCAACCCACAGCACAGTTCTGAGGAAGCTTGAGCTGGGCTGGTGGGGAGTCCCTGAGCAAATGCTGCCCACAGGGGAGCCATGTCATGCAGGAATTGCCTGGAACTAGCACCCCTGCCACCCTCAGTAATTGGCTGGGAGCGGCCTGGGGGAAGTATGGCTTTGGCTCATACACGATGGTGGATCCAGAAAGGGAGCGGCCGGCACTATCAGTCAACTATGCTCCCAAAGCAAATGATCCTGAAGGTCCTCTGAGTGGGGCACTTCTGTGGCTACCACACTATGTAAAGAAGAGCAATCGAATACTCCCTGTCCTCAAGGAATTTAGAGTTGACTGAATTCTTGATCTCCCATTTCAGATCTCAGTACTCCAATCTTGATCTCTGTGCTTTTACTTTAGTATGAAAAGTCAGATGACAATTTTGCTACACCTACTCCATTCTCGTAGGCAGGAAGCATGCCTTGACAATTGTTTTTTCATAGTGGGAAGAGGCGGGCCTGAGTCTGGTTTCCCTGTGGCCTGCAGCTCACTGGCTGCATCTCTGGTCAAGGGGCAGAGCTCAGTGTGTTCACACAGGCTGACAAGCTTTGGCATACTCATTTGACCAACTCAGTTTACCAGCTGCATTTCCTATCCTTTCAGTTTGAATGAAAAATCTAACTAAAAATTTTCTCCCTGCTTATTCTTTGTAGACTAACTCTTGTCTTATAAAAAGTTTGAAATAGCGATTTCATCTGGCTAGTAGATTCTGAGTCCAATATCTTATTGCCTGAAGCTGAAAATATCCTAATTGATACAATTGATAGGCAGCCTTCAGAGCAAGAGAGAGGTGAGTGGTCTTGGGGTGAGGCTTGATGCACCCCCAGATTTAATGTCTACCTGACACTGTTGAGATCTGCTAAATTATGAAGCAGAATTTTGAAGACCACACTTCTTGCCCGAAAACATTAGTAGTTCATATAAGCACTGTCCAGTTTCTTAGTTATAGCTACTGGCTGGGCACTTAGGTGTCCATAAGACTTATTATCTAAACTGAGATACTTTTGAAAATAAAAGAGACTGTAGTCAATGATTATACCAAACTGATAGGTGTCCATCCAAACTGCCCCAGGCAAACCAGGAGGTATGGTCACACATCATGCCTATACGACACTCGACTCTTCTCGAATTGCCTCAATCAGTTGTTTGCAAACACTTTCTAACTTCTTTGGGGGACTAACCCATCCATGTTCTGTTGCTTTTCTCTATCCAGACTCAGAGAAATTAAAGAAGTACCCAGTTGTGGGGCCACCCACTTTGTCTTGTGATCTCACCCTGGGACCTCTGCCAGATACAGCATATCAGTTCCTAGGAAAAATGGATTGTCTCCATCCCCAGCCTCCTTCTCTGAGTCACTGAACCCACAGGTGTGTGCTTAACACACTTCACCCAGCTCTGGAACAACATCTTGCCAGATTAGCCCAGCAGAGGGAGAGGAACGTAAGACATTACTGGATTTGTTCTCCTGTCAACAAAGGGATTTGGTGGGAAATTTGGAGGTTTTTTGGTCTCTACTGCTCACTCATACATTTAGAACATTTCTTGATTGCATAGTGGATTGGATTTGCCTTTTATAAATGGAGGGTAGAATTTAAAAAGGTCTGTGTGTTACGTGTGTGTGTGTATGTGTACATTGGAAGGTGGGCATTTGCGTATAGTGGAGTTGGGGGAGGCAGAGCCCACAGGGGTGGAATAGGGACTCAGGGGTCTATGATATTCATTGGTCTGCAAGTACACGTTGGGAGATTATTACTTTGTTAGGACAATGTTTCAAACTATTTGCTCAGCTCAGCGGGGATTTAAGCAAAGGGGGGCTCTGACATTTTCGTTCTAATTTAAAAATTCTAGATTTTTTGTGAAACTTGGTTCATGTGAGTTGTGTATGTGTTTGCTTTGCTTTTTTGTTCAGCAAAAATAACAGTAAAACCACAAGGTTTTAATTCATTGTTTGCCAAATGAAAAAAGCTTTTGAGAATTTTAATTCACAATTGATAAGCGTGATGGCTCTGGTGGGTGGCCTCGAGGCTGAAGGAGAGACCACAGGGAGCCTCGCTTCCCCAGCTCCTGGTGGTATCCTGGTTCTGAGTCCTGTGGCTGCTGCAATCATGTCTTCAAACACTTCGTTGGGGGAGACTGATGAAATGTTTCATGATGAGCACAAAGATTTATTCTTTCAGTCATAGAAGTTAGAGGAAACTGCTCCAAACTTTAGAAGAGGGGGTCATTTCTAGGGAACATGGGAGCCTGGAGAATTAATGCATTTTGTTCTATGGACAATTTGCAATTGATTGCCATTTTTATAACTTATTTTTTACTTAAAAATGGCACAGGATCATTACAGAAACTTTGGAAAAAATAGGAGAACACACACACACACACAATCTGTCATCTTATTAGTCAAAAATAACCACTTTCAGTATCTTAGTGTATTTTCTTCTAATCTTTTTCCTTTACATACTATATATATAAAAGTTTTACTATCTTGACAAAAATAAGATCATATTGCAAGTTTTGCTTTCTGGAAGGGAAGATACAGCACAGGGCTCAAGATGGGATCTGGCTTCCAGTGGGCTAGTGGGCCAGGACTGGGGGACGGAAGATGGTGGGGACCACACAACGGACTCTCTTCACTTCCCTGAGAATCTACAGGATTGGATGCTCTAACATGAGACTCTTCTAGCATGTAGGAAGGCCTAGTTTTGTCCATTAGGCCACCAGGAGTGTGGCTGGAATGTTGGCAGAGCTCTTCTCTGCTTATGGAAGAAGGGTCCTCTCTGGCTTAAGAAAGGATTTTGTCTTAAAAATTAACTTTGAGTTTTACTCATGTGAATTACTCATGTTTTCAGCTCAGCATGCACCAGGCAGGCACAGAAACATGGAATCACAGTGCTCTGCTGTGGAGAACACATGACTACCATTCCACCTGTGAGCAGACGTCCCAGCAAACAGACAGCCTGGCTAGCCTCTCCCATTTTAGGGACAGAGAACCCGGACAGGCCCAGAAGAATTGAGCTGATCCTTCTGCTCCAAGGCATTTGACGTGTGAGGGTAGGTGCTGGCCCTGGCATTCAGACTGAGGTTGACACATATGACACGTCTTCCCACATAAGCAAAACTTCATCTCTCAGCAGACTCCTTGGAATAGAACAACAAGTTCACTTGCCAGTGAGGGAAAGACCACATTACCCTTCTCCCAAGAATCTTGGTACATATTATCCCAGATGAGGGATCTTTTTATTACACTAGTTTTTCGCACATATACACATCCGTCAACCTAACCCTGAAATTTAGTGTAACCACATGTGCTAAAGATTGTAACAGAGAAAGGGTAGCGAACAGATTGTTTTAGTTTATCAAGACATAAATAACGTAACTTCATTTTTTATATTAAAAAAAGTCTTGTCCATATCTGTAAGTCATTGGTTCTCAATCGGGGATGACTTTGCCCTCCAGGTGGCCTTGGTTCTCAAAATGTGTGTGGAGATCTTACAGATAGCTAATGTATTGAGGCCAAGGATGCTGATAAACATCTTAGCACAGAACAACCCTCCACAACAAAGAATTATTTGGCCCTGAATGTCAATAGCGCTGAGGTGGAAAAACCCTGGTATACTCTCAAGACTGAATGAGTGGATGTATTGGTGATATTTTCTATTTTCTGTGTTTTATGATGTTTTGACATCTTACAAAGTTTGCTGGCTAGGGAGAGACTGCCCCTGCTAGGACTAGCCCTATTTTAGAGATAGCAAAAGGCTTGGCCAATCTCCAGACCAACCGATCTCAAGTCTGTAGCCCTAGCCACCTCCTTGTCTAACTCTCATACACTGAGCCACTATTTCCCCTGCACTTGATTATCCTGGGGCCAGGAACCAGGCAACTGGAAACAACTCCTATAGCCCAAATCCTGACAGAATGACTCAAACTAACTGGTCCTGAATTATACACTCTGCACTGCCTTGCCTTTTTCATAGAAACCCCAATAAAGACTCTGGCTAAGAGGTTCCCGCTAGCTCTTCTCCCACCTGACCAAAACCAGGAGCTTCCCCTCTGGCCCTGTGGGACATGCATGTGTGACCCCCTCCTCTGGGACCTGTGAGCACAGTAAACTTCTTCCTTCCAAGTCTTGCTCCCATTTCCTCATGAGACCTCGCATTTCCTCCTGTCACTGCACAGAATTTATGCTTTCATGTACAGCATATGTACCTTCCTACAGCAGTGGGTACCAAAGAGAATTCCCTACCTGAGTCTTCATATCTGGCATATCTCTGGAAAATCCACTTTAAAAGTAATAACAGAGAAACAATTCACATACTTTTTCAGGGCGCTTCTTTCTTGACGATCTTCCTCCAGTTCTCGGTAAAAAGTCTGTTTGCTAATTTCTTTTTCCCAGAAGCTTTTGAGCTCATGACAAGTTCCACAGCAGAAGACTTCTCGACGGATGTATTGATTGTTCATCCCCTGAAATATACAAGTAAAGCAAATCCCACTTCTTTAAATAAAGCCACTCTAGGTTTGGAGTGATAGAAAGATGAGCTTGCATGTAGACACTGCCATTTACACTTGTTTTTTTTTTTTTTTTTGGTGACTGTAGACACATCACACACTTGTATTCTGAGTCTGTTTCCTCAACTGCAAATGGGAATAATAATAGCTATGCCAGAAAACATCATGAAAAATTTTGAATTAGACAAAACCAAAAAGAGTATCTGGTAACTCTTCCAAATTATCTGATTTTAAGGCTTGCCCTTTTCACTGTCTTTGAGCTATTTGACAATTTTGTAAATTATAGAAAAATTATAGAAATGAAAATGTTCATGAACAGAGAAATCCAAAGAAATTCTGTGCAGTGGAATGCAATTGCTCTACCTACGAATATCAATTTTTTCATTGATGTATTTTTAAAATTTTCTTTTGACTCAGTTGTAATATCTTACTAGTTTTTTCCTTATTTATAAGTTAAATAAAATATTTGATAATCTTCATTTTATATTTGAATGATTCATTATTTTAGCTTTCTTAAAAAACTATCCTTTAAGAGTTACTTCAGTTGTGTGTGTGTCTGCATGTGTAAGATGCACATCATCAACAAAAGTGCTAAGCCTCATGCATGACAAATGGCCAACACCCAGTAAACAGTGCGCTCTTTCCATCCTTCCTCACAGAATAGCAAGAGCCTCTGCTGTCTATCGAGGACCCGATGTGGGCCGGGCACGCTTTACACACTGTGCCATCTGATGCTCACTACAGCTCTGTCTCCACTCACTGTTCAGATGAGGAAACTAGAGAGAGAATCTGCTTGTGGCCATCACTGAAAATGCAGGAGCTGGCATTTGAACCTAGGTCTGTCCATCTTCAGAGCCAGTGCTTTTTGCTCTACAGATCTTCTTTGCTCACACGAAGTGCCCACTGCATTTGGAAATGGGTATGTCCGGGGCAAGCTCGTTCAGCATATGTATATACATCCTATGAAGGGACACATATGTAACCCAAAATTGTTTGCTTTTTACCTTAACGTGGCTCACTTTCCAGATCTTAGGAGCGCCATCAGGCAGGCAGATACAAATGCCTGCACAACAGATCCCTCCCTGCCTGCTGGCAGCTCCTGCTCAGAGAAGTGCTTCAGCCCTGGCTGGAGACTGGAAAGAGACCTGGTCCCTTACTTCACAGCTACAAAGTCCCTATGATCCCGTGCAAGCTGGGTTTTCCTGGGGCACCCAAAGGATTAGGGGCGAGAGAGGAGTTTAGAAACAGCTTCAGAGAAGAGGCTGGCCACGGTGGCTCCTACCTGTAATCCCAGCACTTCGGGAGGCCGAGGCGGGCGGATCACGAGGTCAGGAGATCAAGACCATCCTGCCTAACACAGTGAAACCCTGTCTCTACAAAAATACAAAAAAATTAGCCGGGTGTGGTGGCGGGCCCCTGTTGTCCCAGCTACTCGGGAGGCTGAGGCAGGAGAACGGCGTGAACCTGGGAGGCGGAGCTTGCAGTGAGCGGAGATCGCGCCACTGCACTCCAGCCTGGGCGACAGAGCAAGACTCCAACTCAAAAAAAAAAAAAAAAAAAAGCTTCAGAGAAGAAATAACATTTATTATTTTATATTTATGATATGGAATAATTTGTATTTTATTTGTATTACACTTATATGTATAATAGTAGAATATGATGCTCTCATCAGAGGGGCAGCAGGAGCTTCCCACCTGAAGGGAACAGCATGTGTAAGTGTCCTGAGGTAAGAAGAAGCTTGAAACTGAAAACAGCTTTGGGTATTCGATAAAGATTTTAAGAATCTGCTTCCGGTGTTCTTCCTCCTGGACCCATCTTCCAATCACCTGCTTATTTCTGTAGTCAGAGCTGCCCTAGACTACATGCTGCTGAGCATGTGGGTGGGTGGTGGCAGCGAGGCAGGTCAGGGTAGGGACGATTGAAGGAGATGCAGGGACAGAAGAGGGAGAGAACATTTTCCTCAGTGCCAGCTGCTCTGCGGGTGGTTCTCACTGGTCACACACAGCTACGTGAGGGCCATTGTTTTCTTATTTAAAACATTTTTATTTTTTATTAAACATTTAAAAATAATTTTTAAATATATTTTTAAATTGACAAATAAAAGCTGTATATAATTGTGTACAAGATGACGTTTTGAAATGTGTACACATTGTGGAATAGCTAAATCGAGCTAATTCACATCTCATTTTGCACATAAAGGAGCTGATTTTCAGAGGCATTGATAGACAGTGTTGAGGTTCCACAGCTTGAGAGCAGTGTGGCTGTCAGGACCTGGAGCCTGCACTCTTCCCACCGCTCCCGGACACTCCCTGGAAAGAGGAAGTTTGACTTAGGTGCCCTCTCCCACTTCAGGTGCTCAGTGACCTTACCCTTTCCTGTGACTGATGGACGCTGGGGTGTTTGTGACTTAGAGCGGTAGAGCTTCTTGAACAGAAGCTCAGTCGTATTTTGTTTTTAATACACTGAAGCATTTAATGGGTGTTCAGTTATTCAAGTTAAATGACCCCCTTCCAAGAGCCGGCCCCTTTGGAGTATCTCAGACATTGAGGGTCTGAGCGTGGATTGCTTTTCTGCTTTCTGGGTAAGGGAAACGCTCACATCCAGTCACCTTCTGCAGTCTGCCAGGCTGGAGCTGCGCCGTGGAGCCTCTGGAATTTCTCTCTGCACCCTGGGACTGTCCTCCAGCCTGACCCGAGCACACGCTCCTGTCTTTCAAGGGCATATTTCTCACTTATTTTCTTTCCCAGGATAATCATTCAGTGCACAGAATTCTAATAAATTTCTAGCCACTGGACATTGAAAGAGAAGCCACTAACAAAATACATCTGATTTTACATTTTCATTCATAGAACCAGGGTGTGGAATGCATGCCCTCCTCTAGCAATTAGGTTTCCTGTGGGTTTTGTTCAGGCTCCAGGAACATCTAAGGCATCTCATTTTCCTGATGTACAAGTTCAAGATAAGAAGACAGTGCTTGCTTTTAACTGCGAGGAAGGTGTTAAATGCAGAATTTGCAATGTAAGTATGCAGAAGGTAATGCCTTTTATATGCATAATATTTTCACAGATTTTTTTAAATTACAAAATACCCCTAAAGATTGCAAGTTCATATTGGGTACCCGGTATTTAGAAAAAGGATAGCTTGGTCAAACAGGTACTCATTGAAATGCTCTTCTTTTCTCAAAATTGATAATGAACATTTTATTCTAAAGAAATTCATTATGAAGACAAGAGAGGCCCGTGCAGGAACACAGCCTGCTCACATCCGCACGGCATTTTACATCCTCTCTGTTTGGGAGGAAGGTGTGGTTTGGATATGGAAGGAGGATTTACTCTAGCAGATACTGTAGCTGCACAGTCATGAACTGGGTTACAGAAAATAGCTGAAAGCAGGGTGTTGTCTACACACCCAAGGAGTAAATTAATTCAGGGTGAACCTGGGCCAGACGTGGTGGCTCACACCTGTAATCCCAGCACTTTGAGAGGCCAAGGCAGGCGGATCACGAGGTCAAGAGATGGTGACCATCCTGGCTTACACGATGAAACCCCGTCTCTACTAAAAAAAACAAAAAAAAAAAACAAAAAAAAAACCAAAAAATTAGCTGGGCGTGGTGGCACATGCCTGTAATCCCAGCTACTCAGGAGGCTGAGGCAGGAGAATCGCTTGAACCTGGGAGGTGGAGATTGCAGTGAGCTGAGGCAGCGCCACTGCACTCCAGTCTGAGCAACAGAGCAAGACTCGGTCTCAAAAAAAAAAAAAAAAAAATTAGGGTGAACCCAAAGGAAATCAGGCTATGAAGTATCTGATGCATGCCAGCTCTGCTTCTCATTCCTTTTTGATCAAAAAACACTTATAGGGTCTCTGTTTTCATAGAGTAGCTTGAGAGTAGTGGGCATGAACTTTGGAAGGACTTAGGAGGGGACATGAACTCAGACGTCTTCAGGGATCCATAAGCATCCCAAAGGACTGAAGCCACTGGGAGCAGTGGCACTAGGTCTTGAAGGGCACGTGCTCTGCTTCAAGACATGCATTCCAAAAGGGTCCAACACCACACTGGCCAAAGAAAACATGGCGTTTGGCTGGATGCAGTCAGAGGGCTACCTACCTGCCCCTCCTAGTGGATGCATTCTCTATCTGCAGGTAGAACCTATGTCTTTCTTCCTTAGCTTTTCTCGAAACCTCCTCCCTGTGCTCTCGCTGCAGGGCACCCTGAACTATTTTGCTTTCTCTATGCTTTCCTCCTTCCTACGCTGTCTCATGGGGCAGCCCCCTATCCTGCTTCTGCACCCAAGCATGCAGATACCACTCTGGCTGTTCAGGCTCGCTATTGCTGTCATTCCAGCAGGAACCGGGATTGGAGTTCTTCACCAAGCCACAGCCCACTCACTAGGGGTCATGTAGACACAGCTGTCCTGCCTGCGAAACACAGCTGCATCCCTACCTCCCCTGTCAGGCCAGGAGGCTGCATCCTGACAACCAGGATGGAGAGAAAGCTCAGTGGAGGACTTGCACTGTTGTGACTTTGAGCAAGAAAGCCCTTCACTTGCTCGGAGCCCCTTTGCTTAGCCATGAAGTGGAGATGAAGTGTGGTAACATACAGGAAAGTGCCCCCAACACAGCCCACCATTCATTCCCCAAATGCCCCTCCCCACATGCCACATGCTTGTTCAGGGGACTCACAATGCATCTCCTGATCCCTGGCAAGCATCAAAAGTGCTAACTGAATTTGAACCACCACCTAAATACAGTCTCCTTGTCTTTAGTTTATACGTGATATCAAATGCTTTGCTTCTTATTGACTCAGCTCATATTGAAGGCTTATTTATCTCTGTTGCTGGGCTGTAAGAATTAGAAAGCCTTAGATCATGGGGATAAGAGGCTTCCCGTCTTGTCCCAGACCCAGTGCTGGACCACGTCCAGTGAAGCCTTTAGCAAAGCTCTTGGTGATGAGTTTCACCCTTACATCACTTAGGATGTTATATTTGTGGGCTCTCTGTGGTCAGGCCCTATAATCACATTTACTGAGTGATGCTGAACATGTTTAAGGAGTGACTGTCTTACTAAAATTGACAGTTGCCACTGTGCTGACTCTTGGCCTCAACCCCTCCATGTTATTTCACAGCCTCACTGCTTGTTTTGCTGAAAACTGCTGGTGAATCTGAACTTCAGCAGGTGCAAGAACTTCTGTAAAAGAAAGTGCATTTTGTTTGAGATGAGCTGTGCCATCTTCTTCCTTCCACTTTTAAAAAACTTGTTTTATATTTATTGCTCCCATTTACCAGGCTCACTGTAGCTGGTATGGCCCTCTTTGAACAGAATTGATAGCAATTTTAGAAAAGCATTTTTAGGAAAACACCAAAATAAGGCAGGAAACAGGAAATGAAAGATGTTTACATTTCCCTGGCGGTATTGATGGAAAACCTAGGCACTAACAGTGGCTCTCTCTGCCTCTGCACCTGGCCCAGGCAGAGACAATCATTAGCTCTATGCCATATGCATATGGTGGTGCCCCCGTCGGGGCTCAAATGAGAGTGGAAAGGCGCTGCTTTCTCAAGTTGTTCTCTCTGTGTGGTCGGGAAGAAGGGAAAGCCGCTGTGATCTCCTGTGGGATGGACCAGTAGGGTTTTATTGTCACAGAAATAAGAAATACTAAGCAATGTGCAGACACATAAACCCATTAGGTACCTGAACCCTCCTAAGCCACTTCTAAAGATCTGTAAGATTAAGCTCCTATTTTTTACATGAGCAACTTTTCAAACTCAGGTGTCTCCATTCTATTGTTGTGCAATTGATTTTTGTTTATAAACTCAATTTCAGAGGTGCACACTCACGTGCCTTCTAAGTTTCCACTTGCTACTTTCATCCCATGTGTATGCAGATGGAAGAGAAGAGACTTTTCAGGGGAGCGTGTATGTGCTCTTGATGTCTTTTTGTTGTTGTTGAGACGGAGTCTTGCTTTGTCGCCAGGCTGGAGTGCAGTGGCTCGATCTCGGCTCACTGCAACCTCCGCCTCCCGGGTTCAAGCAATTCTCCTGCCTTAGCCTGCTGAGTAGCTGGAATTACAGGTGCACACCACCACACCCAGGTAATTTTTGTATTTTTAGTAGAGACAGGGTTTCACCACTTTGACCAGGATGGTCTCAGTCTCTTGACCTCGTGATCCGCCTGCCTCGGCCTCCCAAAGTGCTGGGATTACAGGTGTGAGCCCACAGCGCTCGGCCTTGATGTCTTTTAAATTCCCTCTAAACCTGAGATTCTCTCAGAATATAAGATCATTTATTTTTCTTAGAACCCAGATAACTGTGTTGTCTTCCATTCCCCAGGGGCTCAAAAAGCAGGAGCAGGAAATTTAAATAACTGTAGTGTCCAGAAGGCCACATACTTGAGTTATTCTGGTTATTTTTATAATAAACACTTAGGAATATTATCTGCTTCTGACTCCCACCTCTAAAAATCAGGTTTACTGCATTTATCTTTTTGTTTCCCCAGTTTTTATAAACTCATGGGTAGAGGGCAATAGTTCTCCTTTTTAAAGTATAGGCAGTGGGGGGAAATGCATTGGTTTTGGCCAATGAAACTCAGCCCTGCAACGACAGGGCGTGGAAGTGAGTTCAGAAATGGAGCAGGTCTGCCCCCACTAAGTGGTCAGACAAAACTGCCCACAGTATCTTTGCCTACTGGCTGGTGGGCTGCAGGTCTGTGGTCTCTGGCTTATTTTTATGCTCTTTATTGAGTGCTTATGGAATGCCTTTTATTCTTCAAAGTGCTCTACATCTCACCTTCAATTCCCACAACAAGCGTCTTCTTATCCTCATTTTACAGAGGACGTACAAAGAGGCAAGCCACTGCCCGAAGTCACCTTGTTGATGGTGATAGAGCTAAGATTTAAACCAAACCCAACTCCCAAGCCCGTGTCATCACCAGCAAACCACCCAGCCACGGGACAGAGAGATGGCGGCTCATGACAACAGCTGGATACCGAGAAAGCAGGCATCCAGTTAAATCTGTTGAGAGCAATGTGCAAGTCATCACTGCTTTCTCAAAGCAGAACTAGATTAACTTTCTCCCAAGATGATTCTCTGCGCATCACATCAAGACACACATCCCTTTTCCTCTCCGCACTTTCTGTCGAAGTGCTCGCTGTGGCCAGTTTCAAGTGGGTCATGGTAAGGATAAACAAACAAACAAAAACTAGACTCCCTCTGACACCAGCACCAAACGTGTTTGTTTAGCCCCCTCACATGGAGATTCTGCTTCCACAGGTGCAGGGGACTCACTGTCACTCCATTTCCACTCAGGTGGTCTTTTTCACCCAAGGTGAAAATACCTTTAGGTCCAAAGTTTCTAGGTCTGGGAGCTAAGATGGCTCCACCTGACTGTGGCCCGTATGCATTTGGACGGGTTTCTCCTCCCACCCCACCTTCAGGCCCCACTGGACAGAGGGCAGATTGAGCTTCCTCCCGTTCCTCTTTCACCTTCTCAGATGGAAGCTGGAGTGCAATGTGGGAGTGCTCTCCTTAGTTTCTTGGCTTAACACCTTTTCAGAAAACATTTTCTTTTTCTTTCTCTCTCCCTCTTTCTCTCTCCCTCCCTCCCTCTCTCTTTCTTCTTCTTTTTTTTTTTTTTTTTGACAGCATCTCCCTCTGTCACCCAGGCTGGAGTTCAGTGGCTCGATCTCTGCTCACTGTAACCTCCGCCTCCAGGGTTCAAGCAATTCTCCTGCCTCAGCCTCCTGAGTAGCTGGGATTATAGGCACGTGCCACCATATCCGGCTAATTTTTTTTGTTTTTAGTAGAGATGGGGTTTCAGCATGTTGGTCAGGCTGGTCTCGAACTCCTGACCTCGTGATCCGCCCGTCTCGGCCTCCCAAAGTGCTGGGATTACAGACATTTTCTTTTTAACTTCCCCTCCAAAATTCCATCAGGCTACTTGAATTTCAGTCTTGAGTCCCTCTGCACAATCTCCTTATAATTAACATCCTTCAAAGCCACCTCAGATTTTGCCGGCAGTATATTTGAGTCTTAGGAGGAGGCTCAGGGGAAATACAACATCGTCTGGGCAATATGACTGAGTTCTTGGGTAGCTTGGAGTTTTAACTAAAAAAGGACTTACATAGGAGAAAAAAGCTTATACTGGACGTGTCCACAATAACTCAGCCCTGTTATTCCCTCAGAGCTTACCTGAATTCACTGCAGTGACACCAAGTCATGAAAGAGGGACACACAATTATGAGAGAAGTCCCTGTGACTTTTAGTCCATATGACCATTATGAAGCTTTCTTTTATCACATGAAAAATGCATTGGTCTTAGAATTAAATGAGACATTGGAGCATGAAAAGTACTTAACATAGTATCTGCTCAATATTAAATGTGTCTCATCATCATTATCTATATTTCTATTAGCAACCTGCATTGCAGACAGTACCAAATGCCATCTCATTTAATCCTCAGCATATTATGCTAGATTTTACTATTCCTGTATTCGTGAGCGAGAAAGTGAATCTGAGAGGTTGACTTTCCCCAAGCTCCAGAGCTAATGATGGGGAGAGCCAGGAGTCCAGACCTGCTGATTTCACAGCACCCAGAATGTCTATTCATTGGGTGCTGACATCACAGAAGTGACAGTGAACAATGAATCACATTTGGCAATTGCTAATATGATCTTAAAATTATCTCACTTAATGATATTAAGAGCTCTGGGAAATAAATCTTATTATTTTCCCTGTAACCAGACAAGAAGCCAGGGGTAATAAGGTTTAAATTCTTGTCTAAGTCACAGAATCAGTCAGTGCTGATACTGGGCTGTGAACCCACAATGTCTGATGCCAAAAGTCCTGTCTTCACCCCCCACAGTTTGAGCCACTTCCCTCCTTCATTTAGGGAAAAGTTCGTGTGCCCTAGAAAAATAAAGACTAGTTAGCATCTGTCATCATAGACTAAAATTATTCTAAGATGCTCTGCAAGGGTCTCGCTTGGATCCATCCAGGTCCATTCTGCGTGCTCAATCCTGCCAGGTTGTGAGTGGGCTCAGGGAGCCTTGCTGACTAAATCAAATAGGAACCTCACCCAGTAGAGGAGTGATAGGTACCACTCCAGGGATCATGATGAGTAGGCTCATAAACATCAGTCTAGTTCAAGAATTAGATTTCGGCCGGGCGCAGTGGCTCACGCCTGTAATCCCAGCACTTTGGGAGGCTAAGGCAGACGGATCACGAGGTCAGGAGATCGAGACCATCCTGGCTAACACGGTGAAACCCCATCTCTACTAAAAATACAAAAGATTAGCTGGGCATGGTGGCGAGCGCCTGTAGTCCCAGCTATTCGGGAGGCTGAGGCAGGAGAATGGCGTGAACCTGGGAGGGAGAGCTTGCAGTGAGCCGAGATCACGCCACTGCACTCCAGCCTGGGCTACAGAGTGAGACTCCGTTTCAAACAAAAAAAAAAAAAAAAAAAAAAAAGAACTAGATTTCATCATCTGTTCAAGAACTAGATTTCAAAATGCTGTAAAGGTCAGTATTGAATCAATGGACAAAACTGGAACACGGACAATTACAGGATTGCATCAGTGTTATGGAGTTCCCAAAGTTGATGAGTGTGCTGTAATTATGTAAGAAGATGACTGTGTTCTTGGGAGGTAGCCACTGAAGCATTTAGAGGGGAAAGATTATGATGCGTCAACTTCTCTCATGTGATTTAGAAAAGATATAGATTGACAAGGCAAATGATAAGCAAGGTAAATGGTGATGATAGGTGCATCTGGCTGATGCTATAGAGGAATTCTTTGAATTATTTTTTCTGTAATTTTGAAATTACTGCCAAATGAATGTTAAAAAGTAAGCACTACTTTTATCTCCTTTCAAGAGAAAAATTGCTATTTACTTTGTTTCTCTTCCATTTATTGCCCTCCCCCTCACAACTTCTTATGCAGAGCCCCAATCTCTGTAAATAAACCCTGAACACATTTTGTAGTGTCACAAAGTAACAGAGGCTTAAAAAAATAGGTGAAGGGCATTGCAGAATTAGTCAACTGGAGAGTTCTCAATATCCAAAGAGGGAACAATATGCACAACAAAATAAACAACATGATGTTAGTTACAACCCAAAGAATGAATTCAAATTGATAGAAATTATTGAAATAAACAAATGGAGGAGAAAAAACAACTATTACTTTCAGAAGAATTCCAGTGAATAAGTGTAGAAAGAATGAGGAAAAGAGAAAATCACCATGAGAACACCACAGTAATAATTATTGCAGGCAGAATCCATTGATCAGTGGTAAAAATGAGTGGATGACATTTTAAGGAGGAACACAATGCTTGCATGACATCAAAGATATGTCTCTAAAAATTTAATAATTACTGTGGTGGTTTTAACATACGATCACAAATTGTCTGATACTCCCCTCTCTCTAGAAGGTGGAGTTAAGTCCCCCTCCCCTTCAGTCTGGGATGACTTGGTGACCGAGGGGAAAGTAGTCACTTTACAGTGGAGAAACAAATACCCCCTTAAATAAGTGTGGTTAAGGCTCTCAGCGCTACTAATAAGTATTGTGGATATCATGTGTCCCTTGATGTGACATGATGTGACACGCTGACTCTATGATGCACTTCTCCCAACACCAGAATGCTGTCTATTCATGAGAAAACTGAAGACTAGCTCAAATTCTGGAATATTTTACAAAATATGTGAACACTGTTCATTTAGAAGTGTCAAGGTCATGAAAGATAAAGACTGAGAAACGGTCACAGATTGGAGGAGAATAAGGAGATATGATTGATAGATATATACACCAATAAATGCAACGTGGCATCCTGGATTGAATCCTGGAACAGGAAAAACAGACAATAAGTAGTGGAAGACTGAATCTGATAAATTCTGCAGTAAATTTTATTGTACCAATGCTAATTTTATTGTTTTGATAAATGTACCATGGCTACGTAAGATGTTAATATTAGAGAAAGCTAGGTGACAGGTATATGGGAACACTCTGTACTATCTTTGTAACTTTCTCTAAATCTAGAATTATTTTGAAATAAAAAGTAAAAAGCACATGCATCTTCCTGACACCATCAGCAGACAGGAATTAAGGAGCATTGTTTGCCTGAGGAACATTTTCAGTGCACAAAGAGATATTCCGTCCTGGAGCCAGCAGCGTCCTGCTGTTTAGCCCTGTGTCATGTGTCCAGGACTAGGAGTTAGGAGACCCCCCCACACTCTTTACAGGGCAAGTTACTTGAACTAAGTTTCTGTTTTCTCATCTGTAAAATGGAACAACATGTACTTTCCCAATTAACCAGTTTTCAGTGGAAAAGGCTGCTGTGAAAAATGTTTTGCCTGACACAATAAGTGCTTAATAAAATCCTGGACTGCCTAATTTATATCCTTATGTAGATTACTGATAGGTCAGAGGCCACAAGCTCGGAAGCCTGTGGAGTCCTGGTGTGTTTAGAAGGCTCTGTGGCAAATTCTTGAATGCATGGCTTGTTTCAAACAGACACTGCCACTCAACTCCAAGCAACTATTGCCCATGGGGCATGGTCCCAGAGTTACCTGATATTCAAGTTTTTCAAAAGAAGCTGGAAATCTGATTTTTAAAACATTATGTAATTTCTTTATTTTTAAATGTTGATGATAATTTACAGACATTTCAAAGCTCTGTGCAGAGCATCAGAATATGTCTGTTGGCTGGACTTGGCCTTTGGGTCACTAGTTTTTGAGGTCCATATGGATTAATAGAGAAAACTTCTGAGTTCCCCATGGACCATGTAGCTAACTATGCCTTAGCTTCCTGGAGAAACATACACTGGGTGCACATAGAGTCGAAATAAAACAAAGTGAAAGCAATTAGAGAAAGCACCACCCCTCCCCGGTTACTGTTAACCACTGCAGTTTTATTGGTCACAACCAGGCTGTTCAATTTGATGTCTAGTCACTTAATTGTGACTAGAAGGGAACTGGGAGGTCCTTAAGCTCATTCTGCCATGCACAGAGATGCTCCTGGGTTTGCCTCTATGCCTGTTTGGATTGGGACCAGGAGCCGAGGCAGGTCTCTTTTCTCTTGGGCTTTGACCCCATAATCTTGTCCCTTCAACTAGACCCTTAACTACTGTGGGGCAAGGACCTTACTTAATATGGTGCCCTTGGCCCGGTGCGGTGGCTCAAGCCAGTAATCTCAGCACTTTGGGAGGCTGAAGCAGGTGGATCACCTGAGATCAGGAGTTCGAGACCAGCCTGGCCAACACAGTGAAATCCCATCTCTACTAAAAATACAAAAATTAGCCAGGCATGGTGCCCCATGCCTGTAATCCCAGCTACTCGGGAGGCTGAGGCAGGAGAATCGCTTGAACTGGGGAGGCGGAGCTTGCAGTGGGCTGAAATCGTGCCACAGCACTCTAGCTTGGGTGGCAGAGTGAGACTCCGCTCTTAAATAAAATAATTTTTTTAAAAAATGGTCCCCTTCACACAGTGTGCTCAGTGGACAAAGAACCTGTCATCCCCTCATGCCACTTGCCAGTCAAAATTCTCCAAAGAATTTAGAGCTAAAAGCAATTACTTCTCTAGAAAATGTTATATTCTGCTCCTATTAAAAGCTTTTAAAAAGGCAAGGTGGCTAAAATACAAAAATTGGCTAACATATTGTTTCTCCCCTCTGCTTCACCAAACTGCCAGTCCAGTGGCTATTTGGCCTTCACTAATGAATGTTACTTTTTTCCTGAACCGGAAACGGGCTATGTATATTTCTTAAGAGTGCGCTCTAGCCAGGAACTGACTTCCCAAAATAGCTGCGTTTTCAGAAACATTGTTTACTTTTAGAAATGGACTACCTGGAACGAAGGCTCATGAGTGATCTCTGTCATCCTGTTGAGTGAGAATAGAATTGTGGGGTGGATGTCCCACATTCCTGCCCCACACTGTGTGCTTTCCATCAATCAAGTGTAACTCCTCAGAAATTTGAGGCACCCCAGAGAGGCAGCCAGGTCTAAATGGAACAGCCCCCGGAGGACGCAGTTAGGCATCTGGAAGAACGGCACACTCGGCACCCTCGGGAAGGTGTGGAGGGAAGCGCCCAGGGAAGCAAAGAGCAGGGGGCTCCTAGGGGCTTCGGCTTCCCTCTCTTAGGCTGCTTCTCCCTTTGTTTCCCTTTTCTTGGGATGGTCTACATATTTGGGATGCTCATGGAAATTACTGCATGCCATCATTTATTCAAAGAAAATCCCCAGCATAATTTGGTCAAAGAGTTAACAAAGTTTTGGCCGGGCGCAGTGGCTCACGCCTGTAATCCCGGCATTTTGGGAGGCCAAGGCGGGCGGATCACGAGGTCAGGAGATCGAGACCATCCTGGCCAACAGGGTGAAACCCCGTCTCTACTAAAAAATACTCTTGAGTATAGCGAGAGACTCTGAGTGTAGTAGTGGTCTCACCCTAAAAAGGTGTTTGTTTGTTTGTTTTTTGAGAAGGAGTCTCGCTCTGTTGCCCAGGCTGGAGTGCAGTGGCGCAATCTTGGCTTACTGCAAGCTCCGCCTCCCGGGTTCACGCCATTCTCCTGCCTCAGCCTCCTGAGTAGCTGGGACTACAGGCGCCCGCCGCCACACCCGGCTAATTTTTTTGTATTTTTTAGTAGAGACGGGGTTTCACCGTGTTAGCCAGGATGGTCTCAATATCCTGACCTCGTGATCCGCCCGCCTCGGCCTCCCAAAGTTCTGGGATTACAAGCGTGAGCCACTGCTCCCGGCCAAGAGTTACAAAGTTTTACACTGTTAGCAAAGATGCTCCTTTAAGACTCTGTTTTTAAAAATGTGAACGTCGTTTTGTGCACATGGTAAAATATTTCAAAAAGCACTGAAGGATATGAAATAAAGAAGTGTTTCCCATTTTACTTTACTGCAGTCAGCAACACTTCCCAAAGACACCCACTGTTAATGATGTCATATTTGTATTTCCATCTTATTGGAAGCATATATATGCGTACGTATGTGTACAAAATATTGTTTTTGCAAGCAGGGCCATACAATAAACACTGTTTTGCATTTTGCCTTTTTCAACTAAGAAAATATTTGCTTGTCAGCATACATTGTTTTTCATGGTTGTGTAGTAATCTGTTTATGGATATGCCATAATTAACCATTCTAGCATGGATGGACATTTGAATTAATTCCTGCTTGGGTCTATTACAAAAAATTCCAGAGTAAATCATGTTTTGTTCACATCTGTAAGTACATCTGTAGCATAAACTCCTAGAAGTATAATTGCAGGTCAAAGTCCAGGTACCCTGAAATGTTTACAGCATAATTCCATATTGCCTTCTGCTGTCACGGAAGTGTTGGAATGTTTGTGGACTTAGCAGAACTTCTTCTGTAGAGGTCCTTTCAGTCTCAATGACATAACAGTATGGGCTGTCAATGTATTCACCTCTTAATGAAAAGACAAGCACAGGTTTAGGTCTTGGACTCAGGAGAACATATCTGAATGGACCACCTTAAGACAGACCCTGGAAAACAATTGGCTTTTCTAACTCAAAAAAATACCGTGCTGAATTAATGAATTGATGAGTCATGGCAGGGCCCATAGAGAAGTAACCAATACATTTCTCAGTTCAATTTTGCATCAAAAATAAAAAATAATTATAATTTAAATAAACATAAACATTAATCAGTTTCATTGCATTCTTATGCTAATAGGACATATACATAGTTTGAGATAAGTAAAAAAAAAAAATGTTCAAAGTCCTAACTGTAGATAGTTATTTTAAATGGTCAATTAAAATTTGTTTCTCCTATTTGCTTTGAATGCTATATTTGGCTTAGAGTTACCATATTAATACTAACATACAGTTATTTCTAAAATACATTTTGATGTTTTTTATTTTATGAATTTCATTCACTTTTTTGAATAGTTATTTTTTTTAAAAGAGTTTGGAAAAGATACGTAAGTCTTCTCATCTGTGAGTTGAGGTGTTTGATCTACAGGTTCATTGAGGTCCATCTGGCTCTAATAGTCAGGAAAAAATCATCAGCCTCAAGTTCAAGGGAATAATCTGTATCTTCAAAATTACAGGGGCTTTGTGTTTCAGTTTTTTCACCTTCAAATGAGGGTATCTAGTTGCTTTGCACATATGTGAAGGGCAAATATCAATAATTAGGCTTTAGCAAAAGGAGACTGTTCTTCGATAAATAAGCAATTCTGTTTCTCTGCATCCCCCCCCACCCCCAGCAAAAGTAGTTTTTTCTACAGTGTACATCTCTTGAGAGGATTAGTTCTATTTTCAGTAAAATGTTACCAATTTGGAAAAGTCATAATTCCAACAGCAGTTCTTAAGTTTACTTTTCTAATTAACTTACACTTAAAGAGTGCTAGAACTCACTTTTATAATAAAAATTAAATATCAATTTAATCAAATAACATTTATTGAAGCTTGACTTTGTGTGAGGCTCATGCACTTGAGTCTATCTGATGAGGGGCTAGGGAAGAGTCAACTGTATCAACTCAGACGAAAGGGAATTCTACAGTTGAATTTCCCAGGTCTCAGGTTAGTCAAGTAAAAACCCCAAATTCATGATTAATCACCCCACCATCAGCTTCCTGAGAAGCTTCCATGATCCAGCATCTACAATGAACATTTCCTTGGGACTAAATTATCCATCAACCAACATGAGACATATCTTTATTTTGGTTAATCTCCAAAAAGCCTTGCTCTGTGAGATTTACCCGAATTTCTTGCTTTTTCCACACTCTTTAACATGAAATTTCTGCATCATTGACATTTAGGAAAAGATGGAAAAACATCAGAGATGGAAAAAAATCTACTGGCCCATCTGTTATTCCCAACTGGTACAGCGTAGGTGTTCAAGGTGAAGAGAAAATGAATTCAAGTGGTCAATAAAGGACACACATATAAGGGGTGATGTCTGTTTCAATTTTCAGCCCAAGTTGCAAGATGTTCCCACACTTGACAACACAAGCTCAATGTACTGTACCTTAAAGATGAATTTGCAGGTGATACCCGGCTAGGGTGCAAAGGAGGGCAAGACTCCCGGGCCTGCTCTTGATTCCTCAGGTCCGGCTCAGGAAGGCCACAGATGCTGTCCTGAAATCACATTGTTGCAGCCCCTATATAAGGAGTGGAGGAGTTACAGAAATCCCTTAACCTTTCAAGGTCATTTGAGCCAAATTAGTACCAGAACCAGACAATATCTTTCCAGGGACATTGTAGCCTTCCCTCGTGGTGAGAGATGGCTCTAAACAAATCCCATCTCGTACTACCCCACCCTCCCCAGAGAAGGCGAGCTTCTGTTTTGGCAGGTCCCACAAGTACTATGACTTGGCCTGAACCAAGAGAGATGATTTAGAGCAGAGGCTGGATTATCCATGTGCCCTATTCCCCTGTGACTTGTGAAAAGCCAGTCTCTGCACCTTGGTGTGTAAAGGGGACTGGAATGGTGGGACGAGTTACACTTGGGTGTAACATTACAGGAAGACTTAGAGAGGCATCTGGTTCTTTGGAGCCATTAATCCTTGAATGGAATCTGGTGATGACATATCATGGTCTGCTGAGTTCTCTACCAGTTGGAGCAGGAATTGACCCCGGTGAGTGTTTTCCAATAAAATGCATCCAAGTGAGATCGACTTCTCATTTTAGAGTGGCTCTTATCCCATGATGGAGGAGCACATTTTGTCCTTAGGAAAAACATTTAGAATCCTCACTCATCTGATAACAAAAATAGCTTTGGTTTTTATCAAATCCTTTAACTATGCTACTAATTGCACACCCGTTACTTGGTTCAGTGGAGTATAAATTTATAACTTACATTATACATGTCAAGCTCATCTAATATTGATGTTCAGATGTTATCCTGCTGAAGTGATATTTAATGTTGAGTCTGTGAAAGTGTTTTAATAAGCCCCTTTACATTAAGCTGGATGCCTTATTTAATAGCAGAACCAAATTTTAGAGATGAAATTTTTTTTTTTGGTAAGGAAAGAGAGGAGTTAATTCTGAAACCGTCATGCAGGGTCCCACCTATATAAAATCAACAATTTAAAGAGAAAAAACTCAACAAAAATGTTTCTAAGGAGTATACTGAAATCACAGAAGTGAAGTTATATACATATTTGTATATTTCCACTTAAGAAAATATAGAGAAACTTGAATAATTAGCAGCTAACAGATCACTAGGTGTTAGTTTCCCTTCCTTCGTCCCTCCCTTCCTCCCTCCCTTCCTCCCTCTTTCCTCCTTTTCTTTCTCTCCTGTGAAAGTTATTTTGGCTACATGTGATGCCTCAGCCTTTATTGAAGCCATTAGCAAGACTCCAAGAGAAAGGTTATCAAACTATTTCTTATGTGGTGTTACTCCACTTGGCTTATAGCAATTCTGTAAACACTTACTTAATCTACTAATATAGAATCTTGCACAATTAACAATTTGTTCCACTTTAAGGAATGAGCATTTATGCTCTTCCTAGTTCAAATAAGGTTTTAATCTATAAGTATAGGGATGTCCACATTTTGATCTTGACTTTATCTTTGATTTGATTGGGAAGACAGAGGCCGCATGGCTAGAAAGTGGCAGAATTAAGATTTGAACCCAGGCTGTCCGACTCAAGCTCTTACTAAAGTGAGATGTTCAGCACATGTCTCTGCCCAAGCCCCAAGCACTTCCACTATTCATTCCCCTACCAATACAAGGAGTTTATCTGAAAGAGGAAGAGACAATAGAACATGTGTTCAGGTCAGAGCCCCTGCAAGACCCTACTTCTGGAAGGAGGAGCAGAGGCTGCAAGAGCTGCCCGTGGCCCAGGGTCCCAATGGGTGGAGGAGCAGAGCGGGGAACCCATTAAGGGGAGCTGGTTTCAAGAATTTAAGCAGGGATGCCCCCCCGCATAGCTTTTAGGACAAAAGCACACTTACTCAATGGAAGCTATTATTACCATTATCATCAATACAGTTATTACTACCCCGAGCATTTCTTCTTTCTCCTTATTTTGAAACAGGGAATTTATGCCACTTCACTTTTTGAATTTTATTTTTTTTCCTTCCTGATGTTGCCACCCAAAAGAGAAGGGGAGCCCCAGGGGTTACTGAGCATCTTGTACACTTAGTAGAGGTGTACATACCAACTGGACTCTGGGACCCAAAAGAAGAGATGTAAAGGAGAGAAAAAAAGAAACAGCACAGACAGACAAAATATCTTGTAGAAGACAATCAGGTCTATATTTATTTAAAAACCTTATCTGCCAAACAGGCCAAGGAAAGCCTCCCCAGTGATAGGCACTGCTGTAAACTAGAAACCTAACCCTTCTCCTGAGTACAGAGCCCTGGGAATTTCAAGCTCCAATCTACATTCACAGATGAGCCCCAGGAAGATTCCTTCTGGAAGTAGAGGGTCTGGTGGGGTGAGAAGGGGGTGACAATGATGTACCTACAGGCCTGTGTGGGGAGGGAAGAAACAGGAACCAGTAAATAGAGAACTGGAGGTCTCTTGCTGGATGTTTCATTCCAAACTTCTTGTTTTCACATCTTGCATTGCAAGATATAATACCAGTGGCTTATTGGCCATGGCCTGGACACGTGTGATATGTGGATAGCACTTGACCATCCAGCCCTTTATTCCCATCATCATGGAGCTAGTCTGAGGTCCAATTCCTTTGTGTGTGTGATGACCAGTTCCAGTATAGCTGTGAGGTATGTGTATTAAAATCTGTACCTGGGATTTGTTTTAATCAAGTGTAGTAAGACATGCAGATGCAGAAATGACTGTCATGAGGGAAGAAGTTCATATTTACAAATCCCTAGGAAGAAGAGGTACGGCCATCGTGCCATGCAGGGGCATGCGGCAAGCACCAGGGTTGGTCAGGAGGCAGAGAGAGGCAAGAGGGGACAGTGTGGACCAGAGCCTTTTTTGGGGTTTTTGCAGGAAGGGATGGGTATGGTGACCTTAGGATTGACAAGTTTGAATAACTTTGGTGGGCTCTGGGCCATAGGGTGGTCTTTATTGCCTGGTTCCTGGTCCTGGGTGGCTTAAAGGAAATACTGGCTTGGTGTGGAGAGTTTGGGGAAGGAGATAGTGGGGTGTGGGCTCTGGACTGGTTGACTTGCATATCACAGGGGTGCTTGCAGGGAGACACGTGCTATCTCCAGGAATTAGCTTGCCCTGGAGGGGCAGGTTCTCCAGGATCAGGGCTCCAAATGTCAGTGCACACAGAATATGGAAAATAAGACATTAGAGTTGATGCGGTCTGGATAACTGCTGGAAGGCCCTCCTGGATGGCATTCCCATATCGGTGTCACCTCACTGTCATGCTAGCTCTGTCTAAGGCAAAGGGTGCCAGCAGCCCTGCCCCCCAGCCTGCTGTGTCCTGGGTGCAGCTAGCCACTGTGAATGGTCAGGGGAACCCAGCCATAGCAGTGTCTAGATAAACCACCACCTGGGCAGAGTCTGACTCTGAGACCCTCCTGTCCTCTTCTCAGGCACCCCCTCAACCTTCATTTCTGTTTCCTCTGGCCTCCTCCTGATGGCTGTGCCTTCCCAGGTGGAGACTCCTGGGGCCTCTTTTCTCTCTCAGCCACTAAATCCTGTTGATGGTGTCAGCTGGGTGACACAGATATCTAGGCGTTCGAAGTTAGGCCCCTGGCTCTGCCTGGGCTTGTAACCTTGTGGAACTTTCTCATGTATGCATAGGCGCATTGTTTTTTCTTAGAGGGTTCATAATTTTCCTTAAATCCTCAAAGGGCTCCATGACTCTAAGAGGTTTACTATTAACAACAACAGCAATGATAACACCGAGCATCTCTGGCATATGTCCTATGTTCCAAACACTACTTTAAGCCCTTTGTAAGTATTAACTGTTCTCATCCTCACACAACCTTCTGAGGCACAGCGAGACTAAGGAACCTGCCGTCACACAGATCAGCAGTGTGGCTACAGACCTGGGAGCAGCAACTGTGGCCCTCAGGCCAAATCTGGCCCACTGCCCTTTTTAAAATATGAATTAATCATCCAGGTGCGGTGGCTCACGCCTGTTATCCCAGCACTTTGGGAGGCCGAGGCGGGCAGATCACGAGGTCAAAAGATCAAGACCATCCTGTCCAACATGGTGAAACCCTGTCTCTACTAAAAATACAAAAATTAGCTGGGCGTGGTGGCACATGCCTGTAATCCCAGGTACTCGGGAGGTTGAGGCAGGAGAATTGCTTGAACCCATGAGGCGGAGGTTGCAGTGAGCAGAGATCGAGCCATTGCACTCCAGCCTGGAGACAGAATGAGACTCCATCTCAAAAAAATTAATCAATCAATTACTTTTACTGTGACAAGATACGCATAACATAAAATTCACCATTTTATCCATTTTAAAGTGTACAATTCAGTGGTGTTTGGTACATTCACAATGTTGTGTAACTATCATCCCTGTATGATTCCCCAACATTTCCATCATCCCCAAAGGAAGCCCTGCACCCATTAAACAGTCAGTCCCCATTCCCTTCTCCCCCCAGTCCCTGGCAATCACTAATCTGCCTTCCGTCTCTATGGATTTACCTGTTCTGGATATTTCATATACATGGAATCATAAAATATGTGACCTTTAGTTTCTGGCTTCTTTTGCTTAGCAGAATATTTTCAAGGTTCATTCATGTTGTGGCATATATGAGAGCGTCATTCTTTTGGTAATAAAAAATATAAAGTAGCTGTGAAGTGTTAAAATAAGTTTAGTCTAAAGCTGTCTCCTTACTTATTTTAAATTGGACCTAAATATTTCTTCGTATACAGTGACCTGTTTACTAACTGGGAGTGTCAACCGATTGTGAACTACTCTTGTACCAATCACTTTGTTTCAGCAAATCACAGACGGCCAACTGTTCAAACCGTGTTCAAATAAGGCAAACACCAAGCTGTAACCAATCCAGCTGTTTCTGTGCTTCACTTCCGCTTTCCATCCATAAATCCTCTTTGACCACGCGCAGCACCGCAGCTGCTCTGAGCCTATTCTGGTTCGGAGGGACTTGTAGGGAGTGGTGGGGGAGCTGCGCCATCTGTGAATCATTCTTTGCTCAATTAAACTGTATTAAATTTAATTTGTCTAAAGTTTTTTCTTTTAACAGGTTCATACAAGTGAGTGGTCCCAAAGCTTCAGTGTCAGTAGTTCCTTAGTAAACAGTTTCTGGTGCAATCATTTCTGTAGGACCAACTCCCCAAAGTGGAATTGCTGCGTCAATGAGAGTGGCCCCTCACATTTTGGGCAATGACATCAGATGGCCCTCCAGAAAGGCCATAGCCCATTATTCTTTCACTCTTTTGTAATTAAAGAAACTATTTTTCAGAGGGTAACTTGGCAATATGTATCCATATCTTACATAGCAAGTTAACATTAGAGTCTCATCGCCAGCAATTGATCCTACAGAACTGATCAGTAAGTGGATATGGTTACAGGTCTAAGGGTGGTCAGGACAGCCATTGTTCATCACAGCAAAGAACTGCAAACCGACGGATGTCTAATGACAGGACATTGGTGAAAGGAATTATGCAGACTTACAGTGTGTTGATGTAGAAAGATCAGACATGTCAAGTGGGCCTGTAGCTAAGGGGTGTTTTTTTTTTTTTTTTGAGATGGAGTCTCGCTCTGTTGCCCAGCCTGGAGTGCAGTGGCATGATCTGCGCTCACTGCAAGCTCCGCCTCCCAGGTTCACGCCATTGTCCTGCCTCAGCCTCCCGAGTAGCTGGGACTACAGGCACCCACCACCACGCCTGGCTAATTTTTCTGTATTTTCAGTAGAGATGGGGTTTCACCGTGTTAGCCAGGATGGTCTTCATCTCCTGACCTCGTGATCTGCCTGCCAAAGTGCTGGGGTTACAGGCGTGAGCCACCATGCCCGGCCACTAAGGGGTATGTTTAAGGCCATAAAACAGTTCAAAGCTTAATGCTTGTAGCTCCACAACTCCCAGCTGCCTCTGAGTCTCACTGGCACTGACTTTCACCTTTCCCTAACAGATGAGACCTAGGAAGAGGGTGATAGAAAACAGATTTCATAGTATCAACTTGAGTGTTCTATTTGGCACCCAGACCCTCCCAGTGGTTTGGCCCAGCTCTAGGGCTGGAAAGACACAGGATCAGCCCCTTCTGTGAGTAAGAACCATTTGGCTTATTATTCCTATTACCTTACTTATTCCCATCACCCTTACACAGACTTTAGGGCAACACCATGATAGAATTATTACATTAGGACTAGAAGAGGCTTAGAGATTACCAAATAAAACATCTTATTTTGGCGGGGATTTTGAATGTTCACAACACAAAGAAGTGATAAATATTCAAGGTGCTAGATATGCTAATTGCCCTGATTTGATCATTACACATTGTATACATGTGTAATATCACTCTACATCCCATAAATATGTACAATTATTACTTCTTAACTAAAAATAAAACAAGTCGTGGAATATTCATGTGTATATGAGTTGAATGAACTTGCCTTGGTAAGATGAAAATATATGCACATCAGTATGAATGATATATATACATTATATATGTATATATGAAATGTGTATATGTGTATAAAAATTGAAAGTTAATGTTTCTTTTTTTTTTTTTTTTGAGACGGAGTCTTGCTCTGTTGCCCAGGCTGGAGTGCAGTGGTGTGATCTCGGCTCAATGCAAGCTCCGCCTCCCGAGTTCAAGCCATTCTCCTGCCTCAGCCTCCTGAGTAGCTGGGACTACCGGCGGCCACCACCACGCCTGGCTAATTTTTTGTATTTTTAGTAGAGACGGGGTTTCACCATGTTAGCTAGGATGGTCTCAATCTCCTGACCTTGTGATCCTCCTGCCTCAGCCTCCCAAAGTGCTGGGATTACAGGCGTGAGCCACCGCACCTGGCGAAAGTTAATGTTTCTATTCCAAGTTTGTTAATGATGATTATCTCAAAGGTATGGGCAAATAGGAGAATTTTAATATTTTCTTTGTAAAAAAGTGTATTGCTTTGTCTTTTGTTACGCACATATTGCTTTTGTGATTGGAAAAACAATAAAGAGAAAGAGAGAAAAAAGTCCATAGATTTGACCCTAGAAAGAAATAAATGATCCTGGCTAACATGGTGAAACCCTGTCTCTACTAAAAATACAAAAACATCAGCCGGGCGTGGTGGCGGGCGCCTGTAGTCCCAGCGGCTCCGGTGGCTGAGGCAGGAGAATGGCGTGAACGCGGGAGGCGGAACTTGAAGTGAGCCGAGATCGCGCCACTGCACTCCAGCCTGGGCGACAGAGCAAGACTCCGTCTCAAAATAAATAAATAAATAAATGAAAAATGCTACCACATTAGGCTGTGAACATATAAGTTAATGAAGGATTTTTAGAGAGATGATAGTGTACAATTTTCAGTTATATTTCATATCCCTGAAAGCATGTAAGAAAAAATAGGGGCAAATGAAATATTCCCAGGTGAGTGGACCCCATCAACCCAAGGACTGGCAGGACGTCAGTGATGCTGGGGTAAGGGAGGTTGTCAGGGTTGGATAAATGCGTGGTTCCTGGGGCCATGAAGCCACTAGAAGGCAGCGTTGGTCTGCTACATTCTGGGGCACAAATAACCTGGTGTTTGTAGAGGCGGAGGACTAGTCCACCAAATGAAGTAATAGCTTATTCAAATGGACTCAGCAGCTTGTGGGAGGAAGATCAAGCTGAGCAAGCCCATTCAGCGACCCTGCCAAAGGTTGTCCCAACTTCAGCCCGCTGCTGTTATCGCCCCCAGCTTCCAAGCTAGGTAAGAGCTGTGTGCTTGTTGTGAAAATGCGTTTTAAATGCAAATCCCAACCATTCCTTTCTAACTACAGCTGCTGCTAGTCAATTCTGACACAGACATAGTGAAGCCGCCTGTCCATGGGACAGGTGGCCAGCTACCAGAGTCTGAGGAGACTCTGTGCAAAAGAGTAACAAGACCGCTCAAGGAGACACAGCTGCAGAAAACATCTGGCATTTACAAAGCATGATTTCTGGAATCATAAAGAAATTAGTATACAAACCAAAAAAAGAGCGTGTTAACTGAGGAGGTCCAGAGAGCTATTCTGGAGGATGAAACTGAGTCATGATAAGAAGGAAAGCGTGAGTGAAAATTTAGATCCTATGATACCATGTGAGTAGTGGGAGAGTCAGAAGGTGAAAAAGGAACAGATGGAAGAAAAGTGATTGTTCAGCATATATTAGGAGCAACATCTTCTTTTTTCTTTTTCCCTTTTTTTCTTGAGACACAGTCTCGCTCTGTCCCCCAGGCTAGAGTGCAATGGCGCCATCTCCGCTCACTGCAAGCTCCGCCTCCTGGGTTCACGCCATTCTCCTGCCTCAGCCTCCCGAGTAGCTGGGACTACAGGCGCCCACCACCACGCCCGGCTAATTTTTTGTATTTTTAGTTGAGACGGGGTTTCACCATGTATGGTCTCGATCTCCTGACCTCGTGATCCACCTGCCTTGGCCTCCCAAAGTGCTGGGATTATAGGCGTGAGCCACCGCGCCTGGCCAGGAGCAACTTTTTCTAACCTAAGAAAATCTTGATTTAGATTGAATAAAACCACTGATCCCCAGGGCAGAATTAATGAAAAACAAAATCAAAGAAACTCACCTGGAAATATCCTGGTGAAATTTCTGAATTATAAGAACAAAGGAAAAAAATGGCTAAGATTCTGAAGAGAAAGAACAGGTTACTTAGAAGAGAAAAGAAATCTGGCTAGACTTTTTAGCTCACTGAGGGAAATGAACCAGGATCCAGAAATCCTATGCCCGTCAAGGCAAAAGATGCATAGTTCTGGACATGTAGATCCTCAGAGTGTGCATATCCATTGCCCTACCTGAAGAAAATTGTAAATGAAATCTTGTAAATAAATGGCTTTTAAATCAGGGAAGTGTTCTCAAGCAGGACAAGATGAAGAGGATGAGAAGTGATGGTTGAGAAATGGATCTTGTAAGATGGGTAATAATGATGACAAATAGGGATTATTAATCAGAGGTGACATACTCTTAAGGGAAAATTGAATAGAAGCAGGGAAATGAAAACCATAAATTATCTGGATTTGAAAGAAGAGTGTTTGTGGGAGGGAGAGATGCTGAAGAAAAAAAAGAAGGCGGATGAAGTATTTATGATTTCATTTTTATTAAACAAACGTTTTCTCTGTAGACCTGCATTGTGCTGGGCACTGTGCTGGGTTCTGAGGATGCAGGATCTGTCCCCAACATTAACATGGGGAGTTATAAAATTGTGTTCTTTAGTTAAAATTTAGTTATTTTTAGGCCAGGCGTGGTGGCTCATGCCTGTAATCCCAGCACTTTGGGAGGCCGAGGCAGGCGGATCACTTGAGGTCAGGAGTTCAAGACCAGCCTGGCCAACACGGTGAAACCCTGTCTCTACTAAAAATACAAAAATTAGACGGGCGTGGTGGCCAGTGCCTGTAATCCAAGCCTGTAATCTCCTGCCTCTGGAGGCTGAGGCAGGACAATCGCTTAAATCCAGGAGGGGGAAGTTGCAGTGAGCCGATATCATGCCACTGTGCTCCAGCCTGGGTGACAGAGGGAGACTCCGTCTAAAAAAAAAAAAAAATTTAAAAAAAATATTTATTTTTAGAGACAGGGTCTCACTCAGTTGCCCAGGCTGGTGTGCAGTGGCACAATCATAGCTCACTGCAGCCTCTACCTACTGGGCTCAAGTGATTCTTTCACCTCAGCCTCCCAAGTAGCTAGGACTACAGGGGCTTATCACCACGGCAGGCTAATTTTTTTTTTTTTTTTTGGAGACGGAGTCTCGCTCTGTCGCCCAGGCTGCAGTGCAGTGGCGTGTTCTTGGCTCACTTCAAGCTCCGCCTCCTGGGTCACGCCATTGTCCTGCCTCAGCCTCCCGAGTAGCTGGGACTACAAGCACCCACCACCATGTCTGGCTAATGTTTTGTATTTTTAATAGAGACGGGGTTTCACCGTGTTAGCCAGGTTGGTCTCAATGTCCTGACCTCGTGATCCGCCCGCCTGGGCCTCCCAAAGTGCTGGGATTACAGGCGTGAGCCACAGCAGCCGGCCCCCTGGCCAATTTTTTTAAACTAATTTTTTTTTTTTTGTAGAGATGAGGTCTCGATACATTGCCCAGGCTGGTCTCAAACTCTTGGACTCAAGCAATCCTCCCCGCTCAGCCTCCCAAAGTGCTGGAATTAACAGGTGTGAGCCACCACACCCCACCTGGCTGAAACTGTGTTCTTGTTTGTTTAGTAACTAGCTTGGGCTAATCTGTGGAGTCTTTCTTTCTTATGGTGTGTGACTGCTAATGCCTAGGCTCAGTTTTTAATTTTCATTCTTGCTTTTATTTTTAAGCCTGGCTTTACAGGGGTTGCCCTTCTGTCTGCTCAGCTTCGTGGGCAACCAATGATAGGTCATGGTTTGTGCTCAAACATCTTGAGCCAGTAAGTCTTCCACTGTTTGTTGATGGCTCTGTGTGTGGTTGAAGAAGGCATTCAAAATTCAAGCAGTCCACAAATGTTCTCCAGCTTTTGATTTTTGCCACATTTCTCATGTCTCTTTTGGGTATCCACGTGGCCTCAGCGTGAGCCATGGATAAGTGGACAGCTAGTATTCTTTCTGGTTTCCTGCTCAGGGACCCAGCTATGTGCATGCCTCCAGACCATCAGGGACTGTCTGAGCTCACCAAAGTCCCCTGTGGCTGGCCCATTCCTGGATCTCACTGTTAATTTCTTCTTAGTTTGCCATTCTTTTGTTTGCCCCTCCCACAGCTGCAATCTCAGTCTAGTTGTACTGTTGGTCTTCCCTGCTAATTTGAAACCAAGATTGCTTCTGTTTTGAATTTTCTGAGCTCCACTTGAAATCAAGGCAGTGCCCTCTGGCAGCAAAGTTGCTGGTTTCCACCAAACGCTCTGCGTGGGTAGAGCTGCGGAAGATCACAGATTCCCACTGTCCGTTCCTTAAATTTAGTAGTTTTTCTTGAATAAATGCTTCTCAATTTGATCGATGTTGGCTGATTTTCAGGCTCCTCAAATGATACTTTTTTGACAATTTTGTCAAGTTTCATTATTGTTTTTTGGGGAGAGGATTTGATGAGCTCCTGACTCCACTGTTTGGGCAGTCCCCACTTTATTATTATTTTTTTAAAGACACTCAAGGTGATTCCAGTGTGTAGCCTTGACAGAAAACAACCATATTTTAAAGAGAGAGCAACTGCAATCACTTGGCCATCCACAGTGGGCAGCTCTGAGAAAGAACAGTTCACATTCAGGAACCGTCTGCCCCTGGGAAGGTCAAACAACCTTACCTTAAGTTAGTCCTGATAATATTTCTATGAATAGAAATATCCTTATTAAACTTATCCCTAAAGAAATGACTCATGTTCCTAAGTAGAAATTGTAATTATTTGTCAAGCCTTTACTGAACACTTCCTATAAGATGGGCACTGAGCTCAGCAATGCACAGGCATTATTTAATGTCACTCTCACAATGACCCTAGGATCTGGATGCCACCATTTCCATTTCTTTCCCCTTCATAGTTGAGAAAATTGATGCTTGCCTCACAGAGCTTCATTCCTTGGATCTGACCCCAATGCCCTTAACACAGCTGCTTGACTGTAGATGAAACAAGGACTCAGTCCTGGCTACACAGACTACTTGGGCAGCTTTTAAAATTCACATTCCTGGGTCCCATCCCCAGACAAATTGAATGATCATCTCTAGGAGAATGGGTTCCAGGAAAAGAAATATTTTAAAAGCTTCCCTGGTGATTCTAAAGGGCATCCCCTGATGAGACCCACTGCCCAGGAACACTTAATTTAGGCTAAACTAAGCAATGCAAAAAGCCATAATTTCAATTAAATAAAGCTTTACATACAAGGTCCTGAGTGAGAAGCAAGCTAGTGGCTGGGTGTATGTAAGTCATGACTCATGGTAAGAACCGGGGAAGGATGGTCACTGCACACTCAGCAGCACACTCCACCATCCTCACCATCCCTCCAGTGGGGTCACTGGGCTGAGGGGCACAGAAGCAAGATAGCCCTTTAAAAAAAATATTATGGAATACTATGCAGCCATAAAAAAGGATGAGTTCATGTCCTTTGCAGGAGCATAGATGAAGCTGGAAACCATCATTCTCAGCAAACTGACACAAGAACAGAAAACCAAACACCTCATGTTCTCATTCATAAGTGGGAGTTGAACAATGAGAACACATGGACACAGGGAGGGGAATATCACACACTAGGGCTTGTCAGGAGGTGGGAGCTAGGGGAGGGATAGCACTAGGAGAAAAACCTAATGTAGATGATGGGTTGATGTGTGCAGCAAACGACCATGGCATGTGTATACCTATGTGACAAACTTGCAAATTCTGCACATGTATCCCAGAATTTAAAGTATAAAAAAAAATGTTTAAAAAATTTTGGCCGGGTGCGGTGGCTCACGCCTGTAATCCCAGCACTTTGGGAGGCTGAGGCGGGCAGATCACGAGGTCAGGAGATTGAGACCACCCTGGCTAACACAGTGAAACCCTGTCTCTACTAAATACAAAAATTTAGCCGGGCACGGTGGCGGGCGCCTGTAGTCCCAGCTACTCCGGAGGCTGAGGCGGGAGAATGACGTGTAAAAATACAGAAAATTAGCCGGGCTTCTGTAGTCCCAGCTACTCAGAAGGCTGAGGCAGGAGGATGACATGAACCCGGGAAGCGGAGCTTGCAGTGAGCCGAGATCGTGCCACTGCACTCCAGCCTGGGTGACAGAGTGAGACTCCGTCTCAAAAAAAAAATGTAAATTATTATTATTTTTTAATTTTTCCATAAGCTATTGGGGTACTGGTGGTATCTGATCACATGAGTAAGTTCTTTAGTGGCGATTTGTGAGATTTTGGTGCACATATCACCTAAGCAGTATACACTGCGCCATATTTGTAGTCTTTTATCCCTTAACCCCCTCCGACTCCTCCCCTCGAGTCCCCAGAGTCCATTGTATCATTCTTGGGCCTTTGAGAAGCGCGATAGTGCTTGATATGCACTTGAAACTGCTTGTGAAAGATTGTGCTGATTTATACCCTCTGCACCCAGCCAGCGGAGCAGAGGCAGATTGCTTAGAGAGTGGTCCCGGCCGCCCTGGGGTCTGGAGCAGCTGTTAGCAGGGTTGCTGATTTCAGGTCTTTTGGGGCCCATCAATCCCAGTCCTGGATCTTGCTGAGGGCTGGAAGCCTTGGGGTTTGTTCACACATTTCTTAGTGCAAAAGCGCGATCTCTCCTATGCCTGAACTCGGGCTGCTGCTTGCTGTGGGGGAATAACGGGCTACAGAGAATGCCTTCTCCGCTGTGCGGAGCTTTGTTGTGCTCCGACTTTGCTGTATTTGAGGGCAGTACAGCCTCAGGAGCTAGTGAATCACAGGTTCAGCAGGCTGCAACCCCATGGACCACCCCAGTAGGAGAAGCTTTGGGTAATGTCTATAGGAGCAGGGGACGGAGTATTTTGCAACATGCTCTATTTAAAGGTCCCGCCTTCTCTCCCAAGGGCCAGCACTGCTGGTCCTACCCAAGATGAAAGGGCGGTGGGCAGGAGTGGTCCTGCTGACCAGCCGCCTGGCAGAAAGGCCTCATCTCAGCCAGGGGGGGCCACCTGTTGGTTCTCAGCTCTTACCAAAGCCGGAATAGGGAAGTCCCAACCTTGCTTCTGATGCTGTGAATCTGTACTCCTCTCTGGCTGGCTTACTCAGCACTGTGAGGGGTCTGCCTTCTCCAGGGCTGCCTCACAAAGGGGAGGAATTAATGAACTTCTATCACGGGTGTATTGGCCAAGGCTGATCCTCGTGTTTTGAATCCTCATGAATTCTACGCTGGCTCTTCACATTTGGGGTTTGTGCCTGAAGTGTGACACATTTCCCCTAGCTTCACGGAAGACAGTACCAAATGATCCTCTGCGGTCATCCTGCCCTGGAGTACGCTGGACCACAGAAGCTGGATGTGTAGCCCGAGCTTCTCTCTCACTACAGCCCTGTCGGAAAACTCTACCCCCCAAACCAGAGGGAAACTTGTGCGCCTCCCTGACCAGCACCTTCTCTCTGGTTTACAGACGGGAAACGGGAAGTAACGTGGGTATGGAGGCAACAGCCGCTGTCTGTGGAGGCTTGGCCCTGCTTAGGAGGGGTGCGTGAGCTCCTGGTCCTCTGACTTCACAGTGAGTGACACACAAGCGCCTCACTCAGGTGTAGAATTTACACCAGCATCCTCAGGTTAGGGAGTGTCAGTAATAATCATGATGGTAATGACTTCAAAAATAAAATGAATGCATTCACTAGTGAAGGCTCCACATGGGTAAGGACTTTGTTTTATTGACTACTTAGCAGGTGCTCTGTATATGTTGGTTGAATGGGCAAATAATAAAATAATGGCCATGGCATGAGTTTGTCAGATAATGATAGACAATCCCAGGGAGTTCCTTGGAGCACAGGTGCTATGCAGCCAGCCTGGAAATGGTGCAGGGAACTACACACACCTCTAGAGTCACCATCCCTGTGGCTTCAGCCTCCATGCACACAGACCCCACAGCTCCTGAGGACACAGACATTAGTTCTGGGACCAACACATCTCTGTGTCCTACTCCAGAAAGGCTCACGACCTCCCTCTCTCATCTCCCGGACATACGTTGCTCATGGTCCTGGCTGGTGATGTGGGCTGGGCAGACTAGAAACTGCCCAAGGACACAGGGCCCGCTCCTGCTGGCATCTTCGAGGACCCAGTCAGTGATGCTGTGACCAAGAATAGCCGTGCCCAGCTCCTGGCTGCCTCCTGGCCATCATCTCTAAATTGCCACGAGATCTTAGAGGCTACAATCTTATGGTCTTGGAGCCTGATAGTGTTAATAGTGATGCTCAGTTAAATCTCATTTGTTTATTTAGAGCTTAAAAGATAAACTACCAGGGAAACTGGCTGGTCACAATGTAAGCCTTAATAAACCCTGTAGGAAGAATTTTAAAGCTTATAGTCAGAGACCTCCCTTCCTCCCTCCCTTCCTCCTTCCTTCCTTCCTCTCCCTCCCTTCCTTCTTTTCTTCCTTCTGTGTGATTTCAACTCCAAAAATCATGGTTTAACAAAATGTTTAATGCAAGTGTTTTTTTGTTTTATTTTTTTGAGACAGAGTCTCGCTCTGTCAGGCTGTAGTGCAGTGGCGCGATCTCGGCTCACTGCAGCCTCTGCCTCCTCCCGGGTTCCAGCGATTCTCCTGCCTCAGCCTCCCAAGTAGCTGGGCCTACAGGCACCCACCACCACGCCCAGCTAATTTTTTATATTTTTAGTAGAGAGGGGGTTTCACCATGTTGGCCAAGATGGTCTCAATCTTTTGATATTGTGATCTGCCCTCCTCAGCCTCCCAAAGTGCTGGGATTACAGGCGTGAGCAACCGTGCCCAGCCTAATGCAAATGTTTTAAAGGGCTAGTTTCATTGGAAAAATAGCATTGCCAGGGGCTGTGACATGTAACAGATGCCAAGAAAGTATCTCTTATTTGAAAGTGTATTACAACCAAACAGGAATCTGCTATTATGATTGTTTTGCCTGTTTTTGTTTTGTTTTGTTTTTTGTTTTCCTGATATGGAGTCTTGCTCTGTCACCCAGGCTGGAGTGCAGTGGCGCGATCTCAGCTCACTGCACGCCCTACCTCCCGGGTTCACGCCATTCTCCGGCCTCAGCCTCCCGAGTAGCTGGGACTACAGGCGCCCGCCACGACGCCCGGCTAATTTTTGTATTTTTAGTAGAGACGGGGTTTCACCTTGTTAGTCAGGATGGTATCGATCTCCTGACCTCGTGATCCACCCGCCTCAGCCTCCCAAAGTGCTGGGATTACAGGCGGGAGCCACTGCGCCCGGCCGTTTTGCCTGTTTTTTAAGAAAATTACAATTTAATCACAATATTAGCCTGGCCCACAGGAAAAAAAACCCATTTGGGAACAAATGTTTCTCCCATGAAATAAAAACTCCTCTTTTTCCCCTAAATGCCTCTAGGCAATATTCTCTTCTTTATAGTTTATATCCGTTTGAAAATAATGACATAATATTGTCTGTTCAGTTTCTCATTTTTATTTTTAAACCCATAAACCTTTCAGATCCTGAGCTTGGATGAGACTGACTGTCTTTCATGGAACAGCTTCCCCAGGCTGCACTGGGACCCTTCCTATACGAGGGACAGTGTCCAGCCCCCAGGCCTTGGAAGGGGGTGACTTTCCAGCCCCAGCTCCCATCCATATCAATGACCATATCTGAGGCCCAGATGGGGGATTTCTGCTGGAGCTTTTGGGCCATAGTATTGCTGATTTTTCCTTCAGCATCTTTGCATTTCTTTTCTTGCTGGCTTTAAAAAAATTATTGAGCCTGAAAATGACTGAGGACCAAAATATTTTAAGAATATGTAATACCTCCACAAAAATCTAAATAAAATATCTCTTACAGTTTCCCAGTGGGTCTTCTATAAATGACAAATTCATCATAAACAGAAGCCTGGAAAATAACAATTTTTATTATTTTTTTACGACTGAAGTTCACAACCTAAAATAAATATATTAGCAGCAATTCACATAGGCATAAAACTTACCTTCAAAAAAATATTAAAACTAATGGAAGCGCATACTCCACTCATCACTTGTCAATTCTATTTAACGTTGAAAGTGTTAGAAATATTTATCAATGAGATAGAAAAAAATTACACATTTTCTTCAGTTCAGAGGAACACTGATGAGCATGCTGCAATCCAGTTTTACAATTGCACATGGCCCCCACTAGCTCCATGATCTCTGTTCTTCAGCTGACATGGCGGCTCCAGGACATGTTCCCACAGCCATTGCAGTATGAGATATATTTTTTTCCTTTCATCAGCGCATTTGAGGAAAGATTTCCAAGACAGTTGCATCCAAACATTTCTTGTATCTGAAGGTCTCTTTGCCCTACACTCTGGAGTCAAGGCATCAAGAAACAAGAGGGAAAAGGCCAGAAGCCTGGACACAAGCTGCTCTCTGCCTGTACCACGGGATGCAGCTGAGCACTGCCATCCACAGATCTGGGCCCAGGCCTGCTCTGCACCCAAACACCTCGTTTGTAATTTGTAATAGGATTATAGGATGTCAACATAATAAGGAAGGATTTTGTGAAGGTCATGATTTATTTCCTTTAATCTTTCTATTCCTAAAATAGGAGAAATTTAATAAAAGCCACCCAATAGCTTTTCCTCTCCAGGCAACCACTTTCTCCCCACACAAACACAGCCTTTGCTTGGCTTCCAATCCATAGCTCAGGTTATTCCTAGTCACTGGATACTGGATGTCATCAGTTAGTTGGAGTTAACTGGAAGTAAGTGTCAGGAGAGAGGCAGGGACAGATGACACAGGAGCCTTGGGCTGTGTCAGCAGTCACAGGAGCTGTGGCTGCTCAGCTGTGTCTGAAAGCTTCTGGGCACTGCCGTCCCCACTGCTTACATCACCTCAGGCCCCTCTGGAGCTGAGGCCGTCTAGGTTTCAGAAATACAGATTCCTGAATGAACAGTTCTGATAGAAGGTGTGAGGGAGCCAGAGGAAAAGGTGGAACCCACAGTTATTGGGGTGTATGCAGGAGGCTGGAATGTGAGGAAGGGTGGAGCCATCTAAAGGGAGTCATGGGAAGAGAGAAACCTTTTGAAGTCTTTTCCATCTAAAATGCAGTCTTTGGCAATCAGGTGTTTCTCTTGTCTTGAAATCTCCAGCTGAAATGGATGCGCATTGATTCTTACCTGCCTTGGTGGAAATTAGCAGTTTAAAAATAATACTTTGACCCACGTTCATAGCAGCACTATTCACAATAGCCAAAAGGTGGAAGCCAATCAAGTCTCCAACTCTATATGGGTGAATGGATAAACAAAATGTGGTGCTTACATACAGTGTAGCCCTCCAGAGCTCACAGCTGTTAATCATTTAGTGGGGAAAAAACCCATTAGAATGAATTTATAAGAATTAAACATTGGCATTAAAAACCAAAGGAAAGTAAATTGCATTGTGTGAAAGGAAAATGGAAATGTAATACAGAACGTATCAAATTAGATATCTTCTTTTTTCAGAAACGTTCACCGGAAGGTAGGAGACAGGGAACACGTTGCAGAGAACCTGCCGTTCAGATGACTACGGCTGCAGTTGATCTGCTCTGTTCCTCCTTCGTGGTATGACCTTGTAAATTGCTGCAGTGTTTTAGGGGATTCTAGTTCCTCTGATCTAAAACCAGAGGTTTGAAGAGGAAGGAATCCAAGGGGCACAGACTGCAGGAGCTTGGTGGCTCCATGTGATGCTCAAGCACTAAAGAGACGGGAGTGAAGGCAAAGGCGTGGAAATTCCAGATTGAATCTCCTCAGTCCTACTGTCCAGGGGTCTGAAATACATTGTGGGATAATGAAAAAGACTGAGACTTTATTGTGATGCCTGTTAAAGCCTGCAACACTGACCAGCCAAAGCCTCTTTAACGTTAATCAATAATCAAAAGACCGGAACTTTTGGTCTGTAAAAATACTCTATCAAATTTGTGAATCAAGATTACAGGAGAGGTAGAAAGTAGGCTCTTAATCAGGAATCCTTAGGCATGATTTGAAGATTTTAATGTGTTTTTTATTTCATTGCTAGATTTTTCTTCTTGAAATATTTATTGGCTGGGTGCCATGGCTCACGCCTGTAATCCCAGCACTTTGGGAGGTTGAGGTGGGTGGGTCACTTGAGCCCAGGAGTTCGAGACCAGCCTGGGCAACATAGTGAGACTCCAGCTCTAGAAAAATAATAATAATAATAATAAAAAAATACAAAAATTAGTCAGGTACAATGGCATGCACCTGTAGTTCCAGCCACTTGGGAAGCTGAGGTGGGAGGATCACTTGAGAAACTGGGAGGTTGAGGCTGCAGTGAGCTGTGGTCACACCACTGTACTCCAGCTTCGGCAACAGAGTGAGATCCCATCTCAAAAAAAAGAGGAAGCATTTATTTTATCTTATTTTTTAAAAGGGCTGTGGAACATCAGTACTGAGCTCTTGGGATACTATGGTGAGCTAAAAGATGGGATCTTTGCCCTCATGGAGTTTATGTTTTACTGGGAAAGACAGACAGACAGACACACAAATTGAAGTAACATTTAGTGTGTCAAGTGATACGATGAGACCTTTTTGCAAGAGGGGGACTAGCATGTGCGTATGTGGGACAGTGAGGCTCAATCATGGGAGGCCTCCTGGAGGAGTTGAAGTCTAAAGCTAAGACATGAAAGTAAAGGACTAGGGCAGGAAGGAGGGTCCCTGCCTGGCAGTTATTACTGTCCAAGGGGAGATGAGAACGTGCAGCCCTGGAAGCTCTGAGAGGAGATGGGTGTGGTGAACAGCTCAAATTGAGTCCAGTGGAGAAGCTGTTAAGGGGGCTGCCCCTCCCTGAAGGGTCCTGTTGGTCAGGTTAGAGCTGTGGGTCTTGCATCCTAGGCACAGGAAGGAGTGACTGACAGGTTGTCAGGCAACTGGCTGGGGCGCAGGTCTCCTAGAAAGGGCAGTTGACTCTGTACTTGTCACAGGTCTATGGTTACAAAGAATAGATTCATACACTCAAGATATTTACAATGCAAAAGGGAAGCTGTGCACAGACAGGTAATTTCAGAGCTTAGTTAGCAACAAAGTCATTTGGGATTGTGAAAGAGACAGATAAGGCTTCCCATTAGAGGAGTGTGTGCATGAGCCACAGCTAGTATGCACAAGACTTCTCCCTGCACCTGCTCTATAGTGATGGTGGTGATGGCAGTGATGATGTTGATGATGATGATGAATGGGATAATGAGGAGGAAGAAGAGGGAGTGAGAGAGGAGGAAGGCTTTATGAGCCTATTCTGGGGAAGTAACACCCAGTAGGAATTTCTCTAACACGGTGGTTCTCAAAATGTGCTCCCTGGACCCACAGCATCAGTATCACCTGGGTACTTATTGGAAATGCAAATTCCTGGGTCCCATCATAAACGTACTGAGTGAGACATTCTAGGGATGGGGCCCAGCAATCCGTGTTTTTAACAAGCGCTCTGGGTGATTTGATGCATGCTACACTTGAGAGACACTACTCTGCTTGATGTTTATGTGTACCCTCCTAGTTGCCATTCTTTTAACTGACTGCCTAATATTTCATTCAATAGATACGTCATGTTTATTCTACTAGGTCCATATTTGCCAACACCTGAGTTATCTGCACCTTTTGGCTATTACAAGTAATGTGGTAGTGAATGCCCAAGTACATTTAGCTTGGTGAATTCATTAATTTATGATTTATTTATTTTTTATTATTGAAGTACCTTTTTTTTTTTTTTGAGCTGGAGTCTTGCTCTGTCACCAGGCTGGAGTGCAGTGGTGCAATATCAGCTCACTGCAACCTCCACCTCCCAGGTTCAAACCATTCTCCTGCCTCAGCCTCCCGAGTAGCTGGGACTACGGGCACACAGCACCATGCCCACCTAATTTTTCTATTTTTAGTAGGGAAGGAGTTTCACCGTGTTGGCCAGGATGGTCTCAATCCCCTGACCTTGTGATCTGCCTGCTTTGGCCTCCCAAAGTGCTAGGATTACAGGTGTGAGCCACTGTGCCCCACCTGAAGTTTACTTTATAAGCAGTGAAATGCACACATCTTATGTATACAGTTTGATGAGTCTGACAAACACATATACCCATGTAACCCACACTCTTGTTAATCCATTACCCCAGAAAGACAACAAATGCCAGAAACAGAAAATTACCATATGATTCTTGACAACAGTTTGCCTAATGTAAACCCTGACTGCCAATGTATAGGAGGGTTCATTTCTCATATCCACACAAACTCTGGTTATCACTAAAGAGCTTCATTTTTGTTAATATCATATTTGAAATGAATAATATATTGTTGATACTTTGATTGACATTTGTCAGTGTAATTAGTTGTTTTCCCCATATGTTTATTCTCTCTTTGTATTTCTCTTTTAATGAGTTGGTCAGATGATCTAGTGAACTTGAATATAGAATTATCTTTCCCTCTGCCCGGGTAGCATTTCCTTGAGGAATCCCCTTCCTGACACTGCTTTCACTCTCCTCTCTCCCACTGGACTAAGAGAGCTTATCTGCACTTCTTTTTGGCCCTTTTCACTGTACTTTTCAACTAGATTTTAAAGCATTTCCTTGTGTTCATTGTTTTCCTCCTCCTCTGTCCCCTGGAAAACTCCAGACACTAGCCTTCCAACTCTTTCCCCGGAGCCCAGCACAGTTTCTGGCACTTATTGGCTTCCTTTTGCCTAAGTATAAATTCACCTGTAGTATTTGGGAGAAATTGAAAAAAAATTAGCTACATAGTCATTGAGAAGAGTATGGGATCTAAAAAAACCTCTGAGACCCAAATTAACCAACAAAATCCTTTTTCCCTTCCTCTCTGCTGAGCTCAAAGCTATCACTGAGGAAGTAAAGGCAAAGTCCCACCAAAATATTCAAAGCTACCATTGATATTTTGGAATTTGATTGATTTTTTTAAGCAGCCATCATATACAAGCAATGTGCATTGATATATGTTCTGATAATCATTCCTGTTGCTGATCCTCGTCTCTGGCTGGGCTCTTTGGCCTGTTTGAAGAAACAGAGCCCTGTCAGTGTGGGGAAAGTCTGATTTTTGACTTACAGGCATGGTGACAATTTAGAACTTTTTCTCGTCTAGATACATTCTTTTCTTTTAAATTCAATAAGTATTCACTAATTAGTTACTAGATGCTAAACACAGAGGGGACCATAAAGATCTCTAAGGCTGTCCTGTCCTCTGTGATAGGTTAAAAACACAATAGCTCATGGTAAAGCGAGAAGGTAAAATTGGCTATAGTTGCTGAAATGCCAGGGAAGGAGGGGTCACTTCCAGACAGCCAGCACTGATTTAGTCAAGGCCAAGGAACCTGGAGGGCACCAGGCAGACAAATACCCTGGAAGAAGTCCCTTGGAAAGCAGAGGCTGGGTTTCTTGAGAATGCAAATCATTGTAAATCGCTTCTTCAGTATATTTTGCATTTGGCGATATTTGAACCCCTTTCTCAGCTCTTAATGGCCTGAAATTGAGAAAATGCAAAGTGAAAGAAGGAAGCAGGGATTCAAGCCTTGGCTACACTCAGAAATGGCATGATCTCTAGAGAGAACACATTTTGCATTCATGGTGTGAAATGTGTCCAGCCCTGTGCTGGAACGGCTTTACAAACACTTGCCTTTCTCCTATTTTTTAATGGGTTCATTGTCCCCTTGGGCCAGTTTGTAGGTTCTAAAAGAGATGTGCCATAATCAATTCAGAGCTCTTACAAGAGTGAGAGGAAAAGTCTTGGTTATTGGATAATTTGCTTATATTCTTATCTTGTGTTTTGGCTGCTTTAGTAATTTTTGAGATTTGATTTCTGAAACAGTAAATAGCTCATACAACTCTCATTAAAGGCTACATTGAGCATTCCGCAGGCATTCCAACAGGACAGTGTTTCAGGGACATAATCGTGCATTATACCTAGCAAATTTGGGTCCATAAAAGTTTACCAAACACCTGTGCGAGGCACTGCTCCAGGTACCCAGGAAGCAGAGAGAAATATGATGCATCCTTGTCCCTAGAGAGCTCACATGTAACAACTGTTAGAATCCCAAGCCTGTCTGTGACAGGTGTGGTCATGAGGTCTCTACAGGGTGCCTTGGAGGACAGGGGAGGAGAGAGTGATGCTGATGAGATACAGCGCTCTGTGTTTCATATGGTGGGGCATGTGTGAGTTGGGTCTTGCAAGAAGAGTGGGATTTTGACTAAAGAAGAGGAGAGGTCGTGGAGGAGCACTCTAGGATGGTGGTGGGCAGTGAGTGTGCATTTTGGCTGGAGCACGGAGTCTGCATTTGGGAGTAGATGAAGGGAGGATAGTGGGGAAGAGTTGGGGAGGAGAGAAAGCATAAAAGAGGTCAGCCACATTGTGAAGACCTTGGATGTCGAGCTATGGCATCACATATACTCTGCAGCCATGGGAACCCATAGGAGATTTGTAGAAGAAAGGTGACACCATCAGCCCTGAGAGAAGGGAGAATTGGAGGAGAGAAGGCTGGGCTTGGGATACCAATCAGAGCCTCTTCAAATAGCCCAGCATGTCAGTGATCAGATGGGGGTTGTGGAACACTTGGGATATCTGCAGTACTTCTGCACTCTGCCTGATGCATGTGGAAAAAAAGAGGCTGATTCCGTTATTATGTCAGCCATATAACTGTTTTTTTTTTTTTTTTTTTTTTTTTTTTGAGAGACGGAGTCTCACTCTGTAGCCCAGGCTGGAGTGCAGTGGTGCGATCTCCACTCACTGCAAGCTCCACCTCCCAGGTTCATGCCATTCTCCTGCTTCAGCCTCCTGAGTAGCTGGGACTACAGGCGCCTGCCACCACACCCGGCTAATTTTTTGTATTTTTAGTAGAGTTGGGGTTTCACTGTGTTAGCCAAGATGGTTTCAATCTCCTGACCTTGTGATCCACCCGCTTCGGCCTCCCAAAGTGCTGGGATTGCAGGCGTGAGCCACCGTGCCTGGCCACAGTTCAGCTTTTAACAGGACCTGTGGAATATTCTTAGTAGGGAGCCAGTAGAGCTACCTGGTTAAATGCATGGGCCCAAGAGCCATATTACTTGGGTTGGAATCTTGAATTATTGTTCTTAGGCAAATTAATTGATCTCTCCATCCCTTAGTTTCCTCACCTGTGAAATGATAATAATAGTTTTACAGCATGTTTTGAGGGGTTAATAATATTTATAAAATGTTCAAAACACTGCCTGATACACAGCAGCTGTACAAGAGAGCTTTTTTTTTTTTTAATTATCATCACTGTTGGCAGAGTAGTAGCAACTCTGAAGTTGAGTCCACCCTGGTCTCAGGTGGGCACTGGCCAGTGAATATGTGGCCTGAATGTCTGTCCTCAGCATTCCCACTGCAATCATAAAGCAGATCACTTATAACAGTGGTCTTTAGCCTTGCTGCAGACTAGATTCATCTGAGAGTTTTAAAAAATTCCAATGTCCAGACTGCTTCCTAGACCAACTAAACTGGAATCCGAGGAGGCAGTACTCAGACATCAGTGGGTGTTTTTAAAGCTTCCTTGTAATTCCAACACATGGCCAAGACGGTAAATCATTGCCCTAATTTCTTTCATCCTTAGGGAAACTGGGGAATTGAGCTTAACGAATGGTTATATATAACTTCACTCTCATCAATAACATTGCCATTAACTATGAACTTGTAGCTTCTTAGGTCCTGTCCCAGATCTACTGCAGATTCTGCGGTTTAACAAATGCCCAGGAGATTTGTATGCATATTAAAGTTTGGGAATTCTGGGAAGTTCTTTGGTATTCATGGGTTCTCTGAGGTTAAACAGAAAAAATTCAGGTCCTTTCCTTCCACTGGAGAGGTCCAGATGATGGTTATTGACATCCTGTGCAATGGAAATGTTTTAGTGGTGTGTTACGTTTTTGAAGGTAATAAGATATGTAAGCTGCGGGAGGTAAAAAGGCCACTGAATGTAGAGTTAGGACACTCAACCAGAGGTCTCAAAACTGTCTGAAGTAGCTCAGTGATATTGGGCAAGCCACTTAAGTTTCTGAGCCTCTGCTTCTTCAAACATCTGTTAATACCTGCTAGAGACTAGAACCTGCTCTAGGCGCTGTGTACAAAACAAACAAAAACTACACACACACTCAAGCCACAGCAAATAAGGTTGTTAAGGACTTTACAACAGTTATAAATGATTGTTATACATAATAGAAAGACAAAGTAAAAGGACTTTAGAAACCAAAAGGAGAGAGATGACTTCTGCCTGGCCTTCACAAAGGATGTGAACTTGGATTCTATATTAATGAGGAGATGGTTTTCAGCAACAGTGAAAATTACATGAGTGAGGGCCGGGCACAGTGGCTCACGCCTGTAATCCCAGTACTTTGGGAGGCCAAGGCAGGCAGATCACGCGGTCAGGAGATGAGACCATCCTGGCTAATACAATGAAACCCCATCTCCACTAAAAATACAAAAAAATTAGCCGGGCGTGGTGGTGGGCGCCTGTAGTCCCAGCTACTCGGGAGGCTGAGGCAGGATACTGGCGTGAACCCGGGAGGCGGAGCTTGCAGTGAGCCAAGATCGCGCCACTGCACTCCAGCCTGGGTGACAGAGCAAGACTCCGTCTCAAAGAAAAAAAAAAAAAAAAGGCCGGGCTCGGTGGCTCACCGCTGTAATCCCAGCACTTTGGGAGGCCGAGGCGGGTGGATCACGAGGTCAGGAGATCGAGACCATCTTGGCTAACACGGTGAAACCCTGTCTCTACTAAAAATGCAAAAAATTAGCCAGGCATGGCGGCGGGCGCCTGTAGTCCCAGCTACTCGGGAGGCTGAGGCAGGAGAATGGCATGAACCTGGGAGGCGGAGCTTGCAGTGAGCCGAGATCGCGCCACTGCACTCCAGCCTGGGCGACAGAGCCAGACTCCGTCTCAAAAAAAAAAAAAAAGAAAGAAAGAAAAGTGAGTTTTCTGGCGCTGTCTCCAGATCTCCGGTCAGAAGAAATCATAATACCCACTTCTGTGCGCTTCTGGCTTGTTGAGTTTTCAGCTCTGTTGTAAGAGGTTGCCCTTATTAACGAGACTCTGTTCTATTCAAGGATTAGTTTTTGGTTAAAATTCAGATCACTCCAGCAAACACTACGGGAGATGGCCACATAGCCTTGAGGAATTTACAATTTGAGGAAAAAATAGGTGCATACACAAATCATTTCTTAAGTCATAAATATTTTATTTTTGTGATATATCTGTACTTACTGAGGAACTGATCTGTTTCAGACACTTCGGCATAGCACAGAGGATCTAAGATAAATAAAATGCCATCCTGATTTAATGCATGAGATTCCCACCTGGCTTCCACTTCCGTGGCTCACCAGGTAATTTGAGGCTCTCCTTCCCTCCATGTAGGGAGCCCGGGTGTGATATGGACGCCCTGGCATGCAGAATGTCAGGATCATGCATATCATCTCCCACCAGATAATTCCTGAATAAAAGTCATAATTATTACAATGAGAACATTAGATTCTGTGGGTTTGTTTCCTATGTTAATGCATTGGAAACTGATAGATGCCTGGACAATAGGTTGAAAGGGGTTTGTTGAAATAAATCAAAACTTTTAGCTTGCTCTGATCCTCCTTTCATTTTGAAATAATTTTATGCTCTTTCAGTTGTATGTAGTCTTAAGTTTTTCTGCTCAAAAGTGATCTGTGAAATAGATATCAATATTAAAAATTATAATTGGTGATAAGGAATGTAATTTCAACTGAATTAAATAAGATTATTTAAGAGGGAGAAATTAGAGAAGTGACTGAACGTTGACTAAAAATGAGGGTCTCCCAGCAAATGGGAAAATCTGGTCTAGTTATCACCAGGGCACTGTGACTGCACATTTGTTCCCTAAGGCGAGGCATTTTATTTGTACCACGAGTGATTTAATCACCACAACTCTAACGGCACTGTTTCACATGTTGCATTTCCTAATGCAGTTTTATTAAATTGGATACAAGGGAAAACTTCATATTTAGTTATGATGATGATGAACTGTAAAGAGAAGACAATATATTTGTTTTAATGAATTCCCATGAATAAAAACAAAAAAAATCAATCTATATTCTTTCTTAACTTTTAAAATTTGAAATTTCAGTGTTACTAAAGGAAAGACATAATTTGTATCTCCCTGGGATATTTGTTAATAGGAGAGGGTGGGTGGAAGGAAGTGTGACCCAAAACAGTATAAATCTATCTTAGTTACTCTTCGTAAAATTGCCATTTTTCTCCATATTATTCCCCCTGTTGGAAATGACTCGTGGCTTCGCAGTGTTTACATGATACAGCATGAACTTCTCGGTCTGGCATCTGAGACTCATCTTTCCTGTCTTGTCTCCAGGACTTAACACAAGAGTGTTCCTTTCTGGAGACAGAGCTGGCTCACTGACGTCTTTCATTTTCTGATGTTCTTACGCCGTGTTTCCTACCCTGGACGCACAGTCCGGTCATGCCACGGGGCTGAGATGTGGTGGAGGTGCTGCTTGCATGGGCGGGGGTTGAGTCAGATCACACCTGGAGGAACATCACCCAGGTGCTGCCTGCTAGATGGAGCAGGGGGCCGTGGCTGGTGGGAACGGAAGTTGCTGCCGCCAGGAAAGAACTTCCCTGAATCTGAGGAATGAGGGAACACCCATGTAATAATAAACAGCTGCTTAGCATGTGACTTACAGAAAGTAGTGTCCAGAGAAACTATATTTTTTGTTTGGCTTTCAAGCCCAAGTCCGAGATGTCCTATAAGCAGCATTCCCAGCCTCAGCATCATTGATGTTTTAGGTTGGATAATTGTGCTGGGAGGTCCTGTGCATTGTAGGATGTTTGTCCTATAAGCAGCATTCCCAGCCTCAGTGTCGTTGATATTTTCAGTTGGATAATTGTGCTGGGAGGTCCTGTGCGTTGTAGGATGTTTGTCCTATGAGCAGCGTCCCCCAGCCTCGGTGTCGTTGATATTTTAGGTTGGATAATTGTGCTGGGGGGTCCTGTGCATTGTAGGATGTTTTGCAGCACCCCTCACCTCTACTCAGATGCCAGGAGCGACACTCCTTCCTTCAAGGTGTGGCAACCCAAACATTACTCCATGTTCCCAAGGAGGCAAATCACCCCTGGTCGGGAACCGCTGCTGTACACCAATTTTCTTCAACTCACATGATCATAGGTAATTCTAGAATTATGTTTTCACATGGGCATAGGTAATTCTAGAATTATGTCTTCTTTCTTCAAGATTTTCTAACAAACAATTGCATCTTGTTCTTCATCACACTGAACTGTGAGTGGACCTTGACATGTCCAGACCTTCCCTGCTCCTTGGAACTGACAACCTCATGGAACTCACTAGACTCAGAGGCCCAAGGCAGTTGGCCTGGGGAACAGTGTCCAACTCTTCCCCTCCCTCCTGTAGGAAAGGGAAGGAGATAAATGAGCTGGATGTAGAAGTCAGCAGATTTACACTATCTCTGGGAGAGGGACTCTGTGTTAATTCATTGGAAAAATGAGTTAGTGCCTTTTGTGCAAGGAGCGGTGGCAAGGCCTGTGCTTAGAATACATCACAGCCTTACTGTGACACAATGGCTAAGACACAATACATTTTGCCCCCATATCAATGACTTTGTCATCCTTATGAAATATGCCTGTCAATGGTACTTAACTGGATGGCCATGAGATATTGTTCCCTAAGATCTCTGTAGAATGTACTGACTTACATGGACATTAAATTGCTCTGCCAGACTTGCTCTCAAGATTCTCATATGACTACATGACACGCTTTTATGGAGTTTGTCATCAAAGCAGTGGGCCATTCTGTTGTTATTCATCCAACTTCAGTTTCCTTCTCATTATTCTTTTATGAGACTTCACGATTGATGCTTATTGGAATACATTTTGGCTGAATTTCTTTTCCATATGTTTCACTTGCTCATTGAGAAGAAACATCATATATTGTTTTTATAGCCTATAATGCACCATTTATATTTAATATTTTTATAATTAAAATATTCATTGAAGCATTTAAAATTCTGACTTAGTCATCATGTTTTTAAAGAGTGTAAATGTAGTAAGATCTGTGGTTCAGTATAGACACCCTATATTTCTCACTCGTCTGTTGGATCCATGCTGATTTTTCAAAGGGAGGGTTTCTTTTTCTTTCCAAATAAAATTCGGTTAGGTGCTAAATTGTTGTAAACATCTTTCTTTTGTGAAGCTCAAATCTGCCTTCTGAAATTATTCTCTGGTCCATTCTGTTATTCTCTTTTAATGCAGTGACACACAGATATGCTTTCTTCCTCCATTTGAGCATCCCACAATTATTCAAAGCCAGCTCTTAGGTCACTGCTCAATTTCAGATCTTCACTTGTATCTAATACCTCTGGTTTCTTCAACTATTCCTTAGGTTAAATGATATTCAGATGCCCAACTCTGCCTGCTGAAATCACACCAATTCTCCCAGATGCAGTGAAAATGCTGGTCATCTCCTCCATGGGCTCCTCCCTGGTCCCCACAGCCAGAATTCTTCTCTTTTTCTCTGTGTTCCCACAGGGACTTGTACTTGGTTATAATCTTGGCCATGTTCTCCCTGTGTGCTCTGTGTACCTGTCCGCTCTCCCCTCCCAGTCATGCCCTATGGCTCCACTGTGCAAGGGGACCTTTGTTTCCAGAGTAACATCGATACAGTTGACTTATTCTCTGGAAATAGCAAATTCATGAGTCAATGAGAGGACAGAAGTAGAGCAGGATAAGCATATACTATGTGCCGAATAGATTTTTTAAAATAAGCTTTTAGCTTGTAGAATAGTTTTAGGTTTACAGAAAAGTTGTAAAGATAGTACAGAGAGTATGCATCTACCCTGTACCTGTTTTCCTATTTTATTATCTGATATTGGCATGGTACATTTGCCGTAATTAATGATCCAACATTGAAACATCATCGAAGTCTATACTTTATTCAGATTTCCTTAGTTTTTACCTAATGTCCTTTTTCTGCTCCAAGATCTTTTCCAGGATTCTTCCTTACATTTAAGACTCCTCTTGCTGTGGTTCTCAGACATTCTTTGGTTTTGATGACTGTCATGTTTTGAGGAGTACTGGTCAGGAATTTTGTAGGACACCCCTCTATTGGAATGTGTCTGAGGTTTTTCTCATTATTAGATAAGTGTTATGGATTTTGGGGAGGAAGACCTCGGGGTAAAGCATCATTCTCATCCCATCACTTAACAGGGTCACACTGTCAACAGGACTTCAGCACTATGGATGGTAACCTTAGTGATATTAACCTGGCTGATACGGCATTGGCAGATTTCTCCCCTATAACGTTACTGTTTTTTCCCCTTTCCTTACTGTGCTTTCAGAAGGAAGTTATTTTGAAGAACTCACCCTTAAGGAGTGGGAATTATGCTTGTCCTTCTTGAGGGTGCACATCTATACAAACCATTTGTGATTCTTCTGAATGGAACACTTTCCTGTTCTCCTCCATTTATTTATTTACTCAATCATTTATTTATATCAGTATGGACTTACAGATATTTATCTTATACTTTGTCTTATCAAATAGATTTTTGTTAAGTTGAATTGTTGAGTTGGTTTTCCTATTCAACATCCTCTCTAGATTTGTGAGGAGTTTACCCAAATCTCTACAACTGCTTCAAACTCACAGGAAAAAAATTATACTGATATTTCATCAGTTCGAAAGAGGAAGATAAATATATATATGTATACATATATGTATATGTATACACATATGTGTGTATATATGTATATGTATACACATATGTGTGTATATATGTATATATACACACATATGTATACATGTATATACACACATATATACATATATGTTTACATATATACATATATGTATACATACATATACACGTGTATGTATACACACATGTGCACGTGTATGTATACATACATGTGCACGTATATGTATACATACATGTACACGTATATACATATATATGTATATACATATATACACATACATATGTATATACGTATACATATATGTATACGTATATACACACACATATATATACACATATATACATATATACACACACATATATATATACACATATAGGAGCAGGGGAGAACAGAGGGAGCGTCAGGCACTACAGAATTATCGATAGTCCCTGACGCTCCCTCTGTTCTCCCCTGCTCCTCCCCTGCTCAGCGAGTCAGAACTCCCAAATTCAGCTCCCTTGGGCAAAGATTCTGGATTTCTTATTCCTAAATATTGACGTTAAATTATGTCCTAGATGGCTGGGCGCAGTGGCTCACGCCTGTAATCCCAGCACTTTGGGAGGCCGAGGCGGGCGGATCACGAGGTCAGGAGATAGAGACCATCCTTGCTAACATGGTGAAACCCCGTCTGTACTAAAAATACAAAAAAAAAAATACCAGGGCGTGGTGGCGGGCGTCTGTAGTCCCAGCTACTCGGGAGGCTGAGGCAGGAGAATGGTGTGAACTTGGGAGGTGGAGCTTGCAGTGAGCTGAGATCGCACCACGGCACTCCAGCCTGGGCGACAGAGTGAGACTCCGTCTCAAAAAAAAAAAAAAAATGTGTCCTAGAAGTGTTGTTAAGTATATAAATCAACAAACTTTTGATTCATTGAAAAATTCAGACTACAAAGCATTTTACTAGGATTTTTTTTTTTTTTTTAACGTGCGTTACAGCTCTAAATCCTTAGACATCTTCAGGTGCTGTTTGGTAAAATGTTGAGAAAAAACAGTTGTTGAGCTCCAGGTCTTCTGCAGTGCTTCTGGGCAGCTTAATCCCTCTAATCTCTGCTCTTGCTCTCTCTCCTTGATTCCAGTGACTCTCCTATTTGGCTGCTTGTTATAGGATTTGCAGATAAAATGCTGTAATCCTATGTAAACTAAATTTCAGATAAATAATAAATAATATTTTTAGTATAAATATGTCCCAAATAGTGCAAGGGATATACTTCTGTGGTCTTCCTTCCCAAAGCATATAAGCATAGTGTAATTATGAGAAAAACATCTAAACCTGGGAAAAACTGAAATAGTGCACAGGATATACTTGTACAAAAAATTACTTGTTTTGTTCATTTGAAATTCAAATTTAGCTTGGCATTCTGTTTTCTTCTTTACTAAATATGGCAACCCTACATGCATTATTTGGTAAGATGAAAAAAATATATCGGTGTCTGGATCCCTCCACCAGAGATTCTGATTTAATTGGTGCAGCCTGGGATCAGAATGCTGAAAGAGCTCCCCAGGTGTTTCCAATGTGCAGCCGAGGTTGAGAATCATTGCTGGACCAGCAATATCTAATTGGACAGGCATTTGTGATTAATGCAAGCCAAGAACTAGGGCTGAAAGCCCAGCAGGTGAAAAAGATACGCAGGCTTGGAAGCCAATAAAACTATGACCAGGTGAGCATTAGTGGCTGGATGAACATGGCCCACTGAGCCCTGAGTATCAACAATGCCAGAAAGGGTGATGAGGCAAAGGACGGCACTGCCATTCCTCCCCTTGGTGTGCCATCACTGAACTTCTGAAACACATGAACGCTCTCTGCAGACCTCATGTTTGGTGCCTGGGGCTTCCTGCACTGTGCTTCCCACCTGCCTAGATTCTCAAAAATGGCCAGTCACCATGACCAGCTCCCAGATTCCCACTGCACAGGTGCCCGTCACATCACTCCAGACTCCTTAGACTCCTCCAAGAATCCCTGAGCATTGCTGTGTAACCTGAGTACCTGCCCAGGTTGTTTCAGTCAATGGCTGGAACTTCCACGTTCAGTCTGACCCTACCATGGTTTCTCTAGCGTTTTGTGCTGCCCTGGTTCCTGCAGGAACCCTGGTTGGCACCTGCGCAAGTTGGTTTTGTATTGTCTCCTGGTTGGCTGCAGGTACATAGTTCTGGAGTTGGGATTATCTGGGTCTGGAAGGGCTGCGCCAGCCTGGCCTGCATCTGAGTTCTGCTCCGTGGGGGATAACTACCTTTTGTCCCAATATGCAGAGTGAGTACCTGGGAGCCTAGACAAGGAACGGCTAGGAATTTTGTTTTTGCACCACATATATCATGGACGGATTAAAGGCTTCAAGAAGAAATTAATCAGTAAGTGAATAGACAGCTGCACTAGAGGCAAGGCACTGTCCTGGCAGCTGCAGGGACCTTGCAGTGGAGCTGTGGTCCATTGCCTTCAAGTGCTCATGAGCTAGATGAGCAGCTGAGCCCTAAATGGGAAAAGCTAAATAACAACATGCCAGATAAACAGTAATAAGATTCTAAAGAGTGATGCTGTAGTGAGGAGCAATAAGCCCTCCACCAGCTGGATTTAACTTCAGATTTATGAATAACTGGTTTATTTGTAGGAGTAAACTTTCACAATGTGTGGCTGATGAATGACGGGGCTGGTTGGTGTGTTTATAGTGCCAGTTTTGTCAGTGTGGAAGTCCCTGATTTATTAGCATTTTGTATAAAATCTGGAACACATTTCCCCAGTGAAAGGATGTAATAAATAGTTGTTAAGCATCAGAAACCTGCTTATCCAACATATATCCAACATATATCTGAAATACAGTAAATTTTCTACTTTATTGCCAGGAATTGAGGATGGTGAATCGCAAATCACTTAGCGGCAGTCTTAGTTCATGGAATAGAATACCTCCTCCGTCATATTCCCTGTCTTGGAACCACCTTCTGTCTTTCCCACCGAAAGAGAGATGTTCTTTTCTCTTCTCTCCCATATGTAGGCAGAAACAAGGTGTCTTTCTTCTTGATTTTTCCCCACTAGCCAAAGTTTAAGCAGGAGTTTCTGGTCTTCTCCCCTGCCTGACGTGCAAAAGGGTCCATTGGACAGATGGGGAAAGGCCAGGGCTTGGAATGGGGATTTTTTGAGGGAGCTCATGGGAAGGTTGGGAGTGGAGGAATGGGGCTCACTTCAACATGGTAGTGTCAAAAAAATTGAAGGTTAAGAAGAAGAAAACGGGTGTATGATGAGTGAGGAAGCAGCCTCACAGGGCCCAACTTGAGATGAAAATAACCCAAAGAGATGTGGGCTGGAGTGATCTACATTCATTCAACTACATTTCTGCAGGGATGCACACAAGCACAGACACTGCACTACTGCAAGAGGGCTAACTCCAGGGCGGCGACTCCAAGTCATTCTCATTTACAGCAAAAATGACATCATGGGAGAGCAGAATCCAAGCTCAGTTTTCTCTCTGTTTCTTTGGATTTACAGCCACAATTTTCCCTGGGATCAAATAGTCTTCTCAATGCCTCTCTAGAATCTGACTGTCCAGCAGTGTCCATCTTTGTGTGTAGCTTTGTGCTCCCAAGCACAGACAAAACCATAAATGTAGCCCACAGAGGGAGTTGTCCCGCTCCCCACCCACCCCTGCCCCGACATATGTCTTAGCTTTTGGTGGTGGTATTTAAAAGTTAGCTATTTTCTCTGACTTGATATAGGCCATATTTTATATCAAACTGGACAAACTTATTTGCCAGTGGGTATATCACCTTCTCTCCTCCCAGTTTTCATGTGGGTTGCTTTGTATTTCACTACTCTTTGTTAACTTTTCTTACAACCCAGCTCCTTTCCTAACATTTACTAACCACTTATATTTATTTTTTCCTGTGTCACTGAGTCTGATAGGATCTAGGGCAAGGACACTCAATGTTGTCAATGATCTCTCCTGAGCTCCAGGAAAAGGTGAGCTGAGAGATTTTTTTGTTTTTTTTTGAGACGGAGTCTCACTCTGTCGCCCAGGCTGGAGTGCAGTGGTGCGATCTTGGCTCACTGCAAGCTCCGCCTCCTAGGTTCATGCCATTCTCCTGCCTCAGCCTCCTGAGTAGCTGGGACTACAGGCGCCTGCCACTACGCCCGGCTAATTTTTTGTATTTTTTAGTAGAGACGGGGTTTCACCTTGTCCAGGATGGTCTCGATCTCCTGACCTCATGATCCACCCGCCTCGGCCTCCCAAAGTGTGGGATTACAGGTGTGAGCCACTGTGCCCAGCCTAGAGATGGTATCCTTAGGGAGAGCTTAGCTCGAGCTGGTGCTGTGCATGTGGTGAAAGATAGCCCTGCTCCCAAGAGGTGCAGACTGAGAGGGACTGTGGGGCAGAGGCCAGGACAGAGTGTGGTTCTCTGCACCAGGGGACTTTCCAATTAGCCTAACAACCACCTTCTTCCAAAGCATCAAGCAATCGAGATTTTGCCTGCCCTCCCTCCCTCCCTCCATTCAAACAAACATGTATTGAGTAACAGAAGCAAAACATAGAATTGAAAAAATATATACAGCATTTTATTGGAAAATAAAATACCAATTTTCTCCTTGAAGTGTCAGGTAATCAAGAACTGTCTATAGATTAAACATTAATATAGCCAGTTCTCAAGAAAGGAAAAACCTGGGAATACGTTGAAAGTATTTCTCATGGAGGAGTTTGTCAATTTCCCAAGCAGATTGGCCAAAGATTACAGAAAATATACAGAGATGGCAGTGAAAGTAATATGTGAGAAAAATCTCCACTGGTAAACTGTAATTAGACATGGAATCATGAACGACTTTATATTTCTGAGGCATATATGGGACACTTCATCTTGGCAAAAGCCGTCCTGCCCCTCAGTATTTCTAATAACAGTAGATAAAATGAAGTCTTTCCAAGACACATTGGCACTTCTGCACGGCTGGCATGATTGAGCTGCAGAATCCATTTGTCACCTATGTGCTAACCATTTAGCTTCTCTTTTTATGGGAATTCAACTCAGTATCTGCCCATGTTCCCAGCCCTTATTGATCGCTCTGGTTCAAAGAACGGGTCTTAAATGGAAGATTCTATAGGAAAAAAATAGATGGTGAAACTCCACCTTGACAGACCATCAATAAATCTTCCTTTAGATTAAGCTGAAAGCCAGCTGAAATAAGCCTTTTCAAAATCTTGCATTTTAAGAATAAGATCTTGGATTTTATTTTCGATGATCGTTGTAAAGGTAAGAGAAATGAAAAGTGAATGAATAAAAGAAGGAAAAGGAAGCAAGTTAAAGAGCAATTTTGAACAGTGAAGATTTTTTCCCCCAATTATTTTGTATAGGAAACTGTGAAGCACATATAAAAATCCACAGGAAGTTGGAAAGATTTTTTATTACTAGCCTTGAGGCAATTCACATGCTTTTTGCAAAGCTGTTATAAACTGACAAATATACAAGATGGATGATATTGTAACACACACCTAGAGTGAAAATGGAGTGCAGAACAAAATGATCCACATCAGAAGGGAAAGAAGTTAGTCAGAGAGGCTGAACATCTGCAAGACTTTTGAACAGCATCAGCTCTGGTAAGAAATCAAGCCCTGACTTTTACATTAACATTCCTGAGGCTGATAGAATCTTTTCTCTATTACCTATCCGTTATGATTCTACCCTTCATGTCAGCACTGCTGAGTGATATTTAAGGCAAGCAGCATAGATCCTATTGCTTCACTGATGACAATTTAAATGAATCTTCCTTAAATTTAACAAAATGCTAAATTATATTACTTGTTCTTTCATTTAACATGAGGTCAATGATCAAGAAATAGAAACAAACTAAATGTCCATCTACAGACTAATGGACAAAGAAAATGTAGTATATATGTACGTTACATTTAATGATATTAAACTCATGGATTCATATTTCCTTAGAATTCAAAATAATCTCCAGGAATTCCTTCTGACCAGTACAGTTCCATTTTGTTCATGTCAGAACTCAAGTTGTTATTATGATTATTACTATTATTTATGCATCCAGAATTCACACTAGAAACACTCAAATAATTGTAAGGTGACATTTTTTTCTAAAAGCCTCTCTGCACCTTTTTGGTTTAGCATACATGGCGGGAGTTAGCTTTGGGCCTGTCCTTGGGAGTATCCTCCCTCAATCCCCTCTGCCCGTGAATTCCTGCCCACTGATCCTGTGGATTTGTCGAGGGTCTTGAAGGCAGAGTGCATGTGATAAGCTGGGCAGAGGCCCTAGAGAGAGCAGTGAGCCGCAGAGGTGGACAGAGCCAGCTCTGCTCCATGCTGCATGAGGGGCTTTGGCAAGTTGCATCATTTGTCTGAGTTTAGTTCCTTCATGTTTAAAATGGCAATAAGGAAACTAAGTTTGCATAGTAGTTGTAAGAGATAAATTACATATTAGCATCTCATTACTTTATAGCTACAATAAGGATGGTTTAGTTATGAGCATAAGAGTCAGCTGTGCTCAACGTGGGCACTTCATCCAATTGAAGTGGAAACTTAATCAAGTTCCCAGGGGGACTGAGTCACATCTGGAATAATGTCTCTCTACAGAGGGAAGGGGTGAGCAGTGACCATAGCTGGATCTTAAGTTTCAGACCTCACTTTAGCCAGTAATTATAAAATCATGTCATGTATTTAACTGTCTTTAGTCTCAGTTTCTGCCTATTTCAAATGGTGCTGATCATGGCTGCCTTCTCTATTTTAAGACACTGTTATGAGGGAACAATGATCAGAAGTAGGTATTTTAATAAGTTAAAAGCCTTACTATTCATACAATGTTATTACTATCAGTGCTCATAAATCATTTTGCAAATACTTAGTATTAGAGAAACAGATTTCTCTGTGTACCCTTTCCCTTACATTCCATCTAATTGGAATGAACTCTTCTGTGCTCCTATCCTACCTATGGCTGTTTCCATTCAAAATGTCTGGTCTTGTGTTTTCATTACTCGAGTATGATATGCCCAATAGAGTGTAAGCTTTGTGGGGTCAGGCAGCATACCTTGTTTATTCAACATCATTCCATTACTTCAGTGCTCAGAACAATAACTCATTCACAGTAAGTCTGGATTGAATGAGTGACAGTGGTTTTTCTAATAATGGTTACCATTTCTGAACAACTCATATACATGTCAATTACATTTATCAAAATGATGTGATGAATAGAATCATAGGGTGTTTGGGATAGTGGAGACCTTGCATATCATTGCATTTCTCACCACCATTGCATAGGTGAAGTGCATAGAGCCAGTGAGAAGAAATGGATCTCCGAGTGTCACATGGCTGGGAAATGACAAAGTAGGAGTTGAATTCAGATTACATCACTGTATTTCCAGTGTTATTTTCTCACCAAGAGCTCACAAAAATGCTTATAATTTTGCTAATATAATGTTAGATATTAATCAAGTACTTCTAAAAGTGAGAGCAAAATATGAAAACTATAGCAAAAATTCTTACATCTAACAAAGGAAAGGTTGTAATTTTAAAAAGTATGTCATCGATATAATAAAATGACTGTTGTGGCCATGGGTATTTACTCAATTGTCTGGATTGACTCAAGTTTAATGATATCATGAATCTCTGAAAATGTTTAAAGATTGAGCTAATCTTCATTTTGAAACTGATGGCAGCTACAGATCTGTGGCTATTTTTATTAACAGTGTTGGCTGGGTGCCATGGCTCACGTATGTAATCCCAGCACTTTGGGAGGCCAAGGCTGGCAGATAGCCTGAGGTCAAGAGTTCGAGACCAGTCTAGCCAACATGGTGAAACCCCAATCTCTACTAAACATACAAAAATTAGCCGGGCGTGGTGGCAGGCGCCTGTGGTCCCAGCTACCTGGGAGGCTGAGGCAGGAGAATTGCTTGAACCCAGGAGGCAGCCAAGATCGCGCCACTGCACTCCAACCTGAGTGACAGAGCGAGACTCTGTCTTAAAAACAAAAAACAAGAAACAGTGTCTTTCACAGAGCAGACATTTTTAATTTTAATTAAGTCCAACTTACCCATTTTTTAATTCATGGACTATGCTTTTGGTGTTATATCTAAGAACTCAAAGCTAACCCAAAGGACACTCAGATGTTCTCCAATTTTTTTTCTAGCTTCATAGTTTTGTGTTTTACTTTAAGGTACATAATCCATTTTGAGTTAATTTTTGTGAAATTTTCCTTCCTGTTTATTTATTTGATTCTGATAAAATATCAAAATCAGCAGGGTAATTCTGACCTCATAGAATGAGTTAGAAAGTATTCCCTCTGCTTCTATTTTTGGGAAGAGATTGTAGAGAATTGGTGTACATTCTTCCTTAAATGTATTGTAGAATTCACCAGTGGCAAAATCTAGTCTTAGTTCTTTCTCTTTTAGTAAGCCATTATTAGTTATTAATTCAATTTCTTAACATATATGGACCTATTCAGAGTATCTGTTTCTAGTGTGTGAGTCTTGGTAGTTTGTATTTTTAAGGAACTCAGCCATTTTACCTAAGTTAACACATTTGTGAGTATAGAGTTTTTGATAACATATATATTTAATATTTGATCAGAAGTCAGTCTTTCGTTTCTGGTGTTAGTAATTTGTGTCTTCTCTTTTCTTTGCTATCTTAGTGAGAGGTTTATCAATTTTCTTTTTCTTTTCAAAGAACTAACTTTTGGTTTCACTGATCTTTATTATTATTTTATTATTACTATTTTTGAGACAGAGTCTCACTCTGTTGCCCAAGCTGGAGTGCAGTGGCACAATCTAGGCTCACTGCAACCTCCGCCTACCAGGTTCAAGTGATTCTCCTGCCTCAGCCTCCCAAGTAGCTGGGATTACAGGCACACGCCACCATGGCCGGCTAATTTTTGTATTTTTAGTAGAGACAGGGTTTCACTATGTTGGCCAGGCTGGTCTTGAACTCCTGACCTCGTGATCCACCCACCTCGGCCTCCCAAAGTGCTGGGATTACAGGCATGAGCCACCACACCCGGGCTGATCTTTATTATTTTTCTGTTTTTAATTTTATTGATTTCTGCTCTAATTTTTATTATTTTCATTGTCCTGGTTGCTTCAGGCTTAAATTACTCTTCCTTCTCTAGTCCCTATAGTAGATGCTTAGATTTAAAACAATTTTTTGGATCTTTCTTCTTTTCTGAACTATGCATTCAATGTATAATTTTTTCTCTAAAAACTGCTTTTACTGGATCTCACAAATTGTGATAAGTTGTATATTTTCATTTATTCAAAATATTTTTTGATTTCTCTTGAGATTTCTTCTTTGATCTTTGTGTTATTTAGAAGTGTGCTGTTTAATCTCTAAATATTTGAGGATTCCAGCTCTTTTTCTGTTATTGATTTCTAGTTACATGTCATCATGGCCTGAGAAAATACTTTGTATGATTTCTGGCCTCTTAAACTTGTTGAGGTCTGTTTTATAGACAATGGTCTTGGTGAATGTCCCATGTAAGCTTGAAAAGATTGTGTATTTTGCTGTTATTGAAGAGATTATTTTATAAATGTCAATTGGGTCAAATTTATTGATAATATTATTCAGGTCAACTATATTCTTATTGATTTTCTGTCTGCTGAATCTATCAATTACGGAATGAGGGGTGTTGAAACCTTTAACTCTAATAGTGGACTTGCCTGTTTCTTCTTGCAGTTCTATCATGTTTTGACTCCTGTATTTTGTACTTTGTTGTGAAGTGCATACATATTAAGCATTGTTATGCCTTCTTAGAGAACTGAATCATTTATCATTTTGCAATGTTCATCTTTAAACCTGATAATTTTCCTTTCTCTAAAGACTGCTTTGTCTGAAATTAATACAGCTACTCCAGTTGTCTTTTGATTAGTGTTATCATGGTATATCTTTCTCCACCTCTTTATTTTTACTTTACCTTAATATTTCACTTCCACTCTTCTCTTACTCCCATATTTCTGGCCAGAAGTTCACTGTAATTATTATCCTTGTACTTCTATGAGTCAGGTGTTTTTCCTCTGGCATCTTTCAATATTTTCTCTTTGTTTTGGTTTTCTGAAGTTTGAACATGATATACCTAGGCATAGGTTTTTTTTTTTTTTTAAATCCTGCTTGGTATTCTCTAAGCTTCCCAGATCTGTGATTTGGTGTCTGTCATTAATTTTGGAAAATGATCTATCTTTTTTCTCCATTATTTTAATTATGCTAGGTTATACCATTTGGAATCTTCTCACGGTTGCTGAATATTATTTTCTGTTTGTGTTTTTCATTCTTTTCTTCTCTTCATTTTAGTTTGGGGAGTTTTTATTGACATGTCTTCAAGATTTCTGATTCTATCCTTGGCCACATCTAGTCTATTGATGAGCCCATCAAAGGCAGTTTCACTTCGATTAGTGGTTATTTTATTTCTATAATTTCCTTTTTGATTGTTTCTTAGATTTTCCATCTCTGTGATTACATTACCCATCTTTTCTTGCATGTTGTCTACTTTTATCATCAGAGCCTATTATTTTAAATTCCCTGTCTAATAATTCCAAAACCTGTGTCATATCTGAGTCTGCTTCCGATGCTTGCTTTGTCTCTTCAGACTGTTTTTTCTTAACTTCTAGTAGCCCTATAATTTTTTGTTGAAAGCCACATTTGATATATTGGACAAAAGGAACCGAAGGAAAGAGGCCTGTAGTGTGAGGTTTTCTATTAATCTGGCTGAAAGCCGGCTGAGTTTAGTGCCTGCTGTAGCTGTAGCTAAGGCTTCAGATTTCTCTGGTGTCCTTGTTTTTCTCTCCTATTGTCTTTAGTTTTTCGTAAGAATTGTGCTTTGTGGCCTTTTCAGCTGTTTTCCACTATTATTGTGATGGAGCCCTGTTGATTAATGATAAGGTATAGGGGAGAGAAAGTGAGGGTAAGTGTTTATAATCTGAGGATCAAATCTTAGTTTTATGTAACTCCTGACCCTGGATGTGATCTTCACAAGTTTTGTGTGTCCCCCACTCCAACCCCTCACTCTTGATGAGACAGGAAATCTAAAGGGGGCTCAAGTGGGGGAAATGCCCTTCCTCCTAGGTGAGATAAGGCTCTGGTGACATCTTTTCTCCTGGAGACTAGGCTTTTGTTATGGAAAATGCTCTGGGCATATTTCAAAGCCACTACTTTTTCCCTCCCACTGACAGAGGCAGGAAGTGATGTTTCTTTGCTTTTTACTGTGAGAACCTGGTGGGGTTTCTGGAGGTAACACCCACAGAAGCAGTGAGGTCGTCTCAATGTTGTAGCCTTCAGGGTTTTCTTCCCCACACTCTGGTCCACAATCAGCCAACAGCAATTCATCACAATTACCGTTTTAGTATTCCTGCTAGTTTATGGCTCCAGTAGCCTCTGCTCTCGGGAAGCTGATCTCAGCTGTGATTTTGTCTGTCTCTCCAGATTCTGGGGTTATGGTCACTCTCTGTGACCTCAATTCTCTGATAAGTCCAAGAAAAGTAATTAATTTCTATTTTTCTCAGCTTTTTTCTTATTGTAAGGGCAGTAGTGACAACTTTTAAATTCCTTACATGTTGCAGCTAAAACCAGAAGTCTCAGAAGTCTCACTTTTTTAAAAAGGCTCTATTGCTGGCAATTAATTGTAACACCTTCAAAAAAAAACAAGTGTGCCATTTTATTTGGCCATGGACCCACTGCCACTAAAAACCAACATATTAGATAAGTAGCTAGTTCTGACTGATATAATTTAATCCCCTTTTAGAGCTTGCAGATTCTCTGCAGACACAGACCCATCGGAGAGATTCAATTCAATTTGCACATCTATTAGGCTGTTTGAAACAACGAGAATTCTGAAGCTGCCAAAACCCCACTTTCAATCTCCCCGCTGGACCTGCCTGGCATCTTTTCGTGGTGAGCCGTACACTGATGTGCTGTTTGGCAGACACTGTGCAAAGAGCTGCCCGGCTGTCTCCAGAGAGGGGCTGGGTGGGGCTGGGGCCTTCATTCCAATGTGCTTCAGCCACAGAGCTGTCGGCCCTCTTGCCTAACGAAATAGTAACTAGCCCTTGCCCTGTCTCAGAATCTAACATTACCTGCTTCTAATATAGAAAGATGTGATCTTTTAAAATTGTTGTTGCTGTTTTTGGTCTATTTTATTTTTGAAAATACTGTTTCGATATATGAAGCCCTTGTCAAGTTCACTTTAGCTAATTGTCATTTTGACGTACAAAATTTGAAGACTTTCTGTCATTTGAGACAGAGCAGGGATCCCTCTTGGGGTCTGCCGGGTCCCCCAAGCATGGAAATGAAGGAAATTCTTGAGTTCCTTCAAGGGAAAGTTGAGGCACCCAGCTAGTCCTGAGGAGTAGATGAGCAACTTGGTAAGCAAGAAAGTAATAGTGGCTTCAAACAATACCCAAGGAAGTTACAGCCACAAAATGTTTGGTGCCTTACAGAAACTAAAGAAAACATCTTAACCTGTGTCCCTGAGTAGTTTTTCAGAAACCTGGACCCCACCAAATGAAAAAGGCCATCCATGGCTCTTGGACCTCAGATAAGAGGGAACTGGGGACTGAACTCTGACTCTTCTTTGTTATAAATTTTTTCCTGAGGGGCCTGGTGGCCAGAGCTAACATTCTTTTCTACTGACCCCAGAGTTTTAGACAAAGCGTCACCTGTTAACCATCCACAGAGGAGAACATCTTTGCATCCACTTATGACCTGTGGCCCTCCCACCACCTGCTTGAAGATGACTTGGCTTTTGGGGTCCAAACCAATGTAGAGACTTCATGTATTGATTTACGACTTCGTCTGTAACTTCTGCCTCCCTATCTTTAAAAGCCCTTATTTTAAGCCATTGGGGAGTTCAGGTCTTAAACATGACCTGCCCAATTCTCCTTGCTTGGCCCCTGCAATAAATGCCTCACTTTCACTTTTTAAAAAAAATTTATTTATTTATTTATTTTTATTATTTATTTATTTATTTATTTTTTTTTTTGAGATGGAGTCTGGCTCTGTCGCCCAGGCTGGAGTGCAGTGGCGTGATCGCGGCTCACTGCAAGCTCCGCCTCCCGGGTTCATGCCATTCTCCTTCTTCAGCCTCCCGAGTAGCTGGGACTACAGGCGCCCACCACCATGTCCAGCTAATTTTTTTGTATTTTTAGTAGAGATGGGGTTTCACTGTGTTAGCCAGGATGGTCTCGATCTCCTGACCTCATGATCCAGCTGTCTTGGCCTCCCGAAGTGCTGGGATTACAGGCATGAGCCACTGTGCCTGGCCCTTTTTTTTTTTTTTTTTTTTCCGAGATGGAGTCTTGCTCTATAGCCAGGCTGGAGTGCAGTGGTGTGATCTCGGCTCACTGCAACCTCCGCCTCCCAGGTTCAAGTGATTCTCTTGCCTCAGCCTCCTGAGTAGCTGGGATTGCAGGCACCCGGCTAATTTTTGTATTTTTAGTGGAGGTGGGGGTTTCACCATGTTGGCCAGGCTGGTCTCGAACTCCTGACCTTGTGATCCACCCACCTCGGCCTCCCAAAGTGCTGGGATTATAGGCGTGAGCCGCTGTGCCCGGCCTAGCATACTTTATAAACTAGTCCCCAGACATTTCTAAATTACACGTAGTTACTTGAACAACATGTCCAGATTCTGCAGATACAGATGTCTGAATCTGAGGTTCCTCATTTGTAAAAGGTAGACCCAGAGTAGGTGATTTTTCAGACATTTGCCAACATGAAAATTTTCTAGTTAAAATTTTTTTTCATCACCATGCGTGTGGAGAGGTAGGAGGTGTACTGAGATGGGACGAAAACAAGTCAGCTAAGCATCGTTGAAAACCATACTGGGTTCCCAGTGAAATATGGTTTGTTTCTGTGTCCCCACCCAAATCTCATGCCGAATTGTAATCCCCATGTGTCAGAGGAGGGGCCTGGTGGGAGGTGATTGGATCATGGAGGCAGATTTCCCCCTTGCTGTTCTTGTGACAGTGAGTTAGTTCTCATGAGATCTGATGGTTTAAAAGTGTGGCACTTCCCCACCTTGCTCTCTCTCTCTCTCCTGCCACCATGTGAAGAAGGTCCTTGCTTCCTGTTCATCTTCCACCATGATGGTAAATTTTCAGAGGCCTCCCTGCCACTCTTCTTGTTAAGCCCATGGAACTGTGAGTCAATTAAACCTCTTTTCTTCATCAATTATCCAGTCTCAGGCAGTTCTTTATAGCAGTGTGTAAATGGACTAATACACAGTGGGTTGGAGGTCTTGTATGCTGCCAGACCCCACTTGGTGTCCACCTAGGAGTAATCTAGGAGTGTGGGGGAGGCCATGCCCCCTGGGGGAAGGTTTAGCTTGTGGGAGAGACAAACTGCTGGATGTGTTCTCTTTCTTTCCATCTCCTCACTGACTTCCGAGACTGGGCTTATTGGCGTCTCAGGAAAAGGCCCCACACAGTCAAGAATCTGTTGGTTGCACTTTGGCACGGGCAGCTCAGTATCGCCTCCTCCTTATGTGAATAACCCGTCTTTCCACCTCGCTGCTCTTGCCCCTAGCTTCTGCAGCCTCGATTGTACATTGTGTGAATCTCCCGTCTTTCCACCTCACTGCCCTTGCCCCTAGCTTTTGCAGCCTGGATTGCACATTGTTACAAAAGAGTACCAATAAGCCTGTTCTTTAAGCTCTGCTTTCTGAGAAACCCTGGTTAACACACTCCGTGAAACACTTTTTCTTATTGGATTCATAGTATATAAAAAGAGAAATGTTCTTAGAATCATTTTTGGAAATGCTGCTTCCTATAATGCTTTGAGTAGTTGATCTTCAACACTCCTTGGGCACCACTGGAGTTATTAGCTTAGAATGTTTGGAATATATCTTCATCCTTTCCTAATACAAAACTCCTGTGGGCGGCTAGAATGAATAGTTCCAAATGCATTCTAATCTGTTTCTCCCTTCTCATTTCACACTACATTAATTCAGGTCAGGATCCTCTCCTGGAGGAGAAGATATAAACTCTGACAGACTCTAAATAAAAGGGGGAGAAACCTTAGCTACAGAGGCTATCTGCTAGTAGGGCAAGAATGATAAACACAGGAGTAGCCGGAGGGTTTTCAGCTATTTTTGGTTTCGCAGCTAAATTTTCACAAAGTGGTTCAGGTTGTAATTTTTCAACTTTGCCTCGCAGCTGTAAGACAGTCAAAGTGCAGAGTGGAGGTGGGGTGATGACAGTTATAGAAATTGACAGACAGCCGGCCAGGCGCGGGGCTCACGCATGTAATCCCAGCAGTTTGGGAGGCTGAGGCAAGCGGATCACGAGGCCAAAAGATCGAGACCATCCTGGCTAACATGGTGAAACCCCATCTCTACTACAGATAAAAAAAAATTAGCCAGGTTTGGTGGCAGGCGCCTGTAGTCCCAGCTACTTGGGAGGCTGAGGTAGGAGAATGGCATGAACCCGGGAGGCAGAGCTTGCAGTGAGCCAACATCGCGCCACTGCACTCCAGCCTGGGTGACAGAACGTGACTCCGTCTCAAAAAAAAAGGAAAAAAAAAAAAAGAAAAAAAAAAAGGAAATTGACAGACAGCCTGACCTTTTTCTCACTGTGAGGAAAATGAGATAAGATTTTGTATTACGCAGATTAGAAAAGCAGTGGTGAGTACTTCTACCTCCTTTGGTCAGTCACTACTATTTTCATGCCATTCAGGTAAAACAGAGTATTACTGAAACATTTAAAAATAAAAATTAATCCAGCATTTTAAAAGCACAATTAATCCTTGAGCTGTCCCTAGGCCCATGGAAATAAAAAACCGGTGGACGATTGGTTGGGCATCATCAGAGTGCACCTAATTCACTGGGAATTAGGGTGCAGATCCTGGACGAGGAAGTAATAAGATGGTAGTTTTTGTTTGAGTTGGAAAAGATCTTGGTACATTCAAAGAAGGAATACACTTGTTATTGAAACATACGTAAGATGAAATCATGAGACCCAATAGATACTGTTTTAGTTTCTCTGATATTTCCAATGAAACATACAATTTTATAACTCAGGTGTCACATACTGCAAAACTCTGTCTAAAACCTCAGACTCAAGAGCATTGAAGAAATTGCTGCTTATTTAGAAAGATGAAAGGAAAATTGTCATGTTAAAGATATTAAATTAGAGTTTATTATTCAATGAACGGCTATTTAGGCACTCACATTATGTCTGATACTGGTCTAGAGGGAGGGTTTCTCTGCCACAGGAGTATTTACACTTTGGGCTGCTCGGTACTGTGTTGTGGGGGCTGTCCTGTTCCTAGGAGTTCTGCAGCATCCTTGGCCTCAACTAACTAGGGGCCAGTAGCACCCTCCACCTCCAGGTGGGCAACAAAAAAAATCTCCAGACATTGCCAAATGCTCTCCGGGGGAAAATGCCCCTGGTTGAAAACCACTGGGCTAGGTGCAGTGCAGGGTGCAGGATAATAATAACACTTGGAGGCCGGGCGCGGTGGCTCATACCTGTAATCCCAGCACTTTGGGAGGCTGAGGCGGGAGGATCACGAGGTCAGATCGAGACCATGCTGGCTACCATGGTGAAACCCCTGTCTCTACTAAAACTACAAAAATAGCTGGGCGTGGTGGTGCGCGCCTGTAGTCCCAGCTGCTCGGGAGGCTGAGGCAGGAGAATGGCGTGAACCGGGGAGGCGGAGCTTGCAGTGAGCCCCGATCGCGGCACTGCACTCCAGCCTGGGTGACAGAGCGAGACTCGTCTCAAACAAACAAACAAAACACTTGGAGGCTGCCCTCCAGGCCAGTCTCATTGAGCAGAGAAGATTAAGGGAAAGAAAAACAAAGACAAGGGCAAATCATCTAGCATAGTATGTAAACTGCAAAACGTGTACAGGTCAACTTTTAAACATCTTGTGGGTATGATGCTGTGGCTTAGAGTTCCTTTTCTGCTCTTATTCACTCAGCAAACTTTTATCCAGTGCCTCCCATGTGACAGGTGCTGTTTTAGGTTTTGGTGATACCTTAGAGAACCAGACAAAGTCGCTGCCCTCATGGAGCTCATAGTCTCTTTGGGGAGCTAAACAAGACAAGTTAGGACAATCAATAGATGTAGATATGTAGTATAATGCCAGACCGTGGTAAGTGCTGTGAGGGAAGCTGAAGCTGGTAGTGAGATGGAGAGTAGCTGTTGAGGACGGTTGTCAGAGAAGATTTCTCAGAAGGACTAGTATTTTTTGGTGAAGAAGTTATCCTCCTCTTCTCTCTGAGAAAAACCCATGCACTCCCACGTGAACCTCTTCAAGCGGGCTCTCGTGTTGCTCTGGCGCAGCCCTCTTGTGCTTTCAGTGCTCCCTTGATTTCTGACATAACAAGGTAACTGTTCACCGACTACTTCTATTGCCCAGACCCGGAATTAACCATTTCCTCAAGGACTGGCATTATTATTATTAATGCGGTATAACTTACACAGAGTATAAGAAAGTACACTAATCTTACATGTACAATTCAATGAACTTTTACATACTTATACAGCATACAACCACTTCTCATATAAAGATATACAACATTTCTAGCACCTAGAAAGTTCCCCAGGGGCCCATTGCATGTATTACCTCCTCCCCCATGCTGTATGCAGTGGTAATTACAATACTCTCCAGATCTGTGTTATTTTTCTCAACGTTATGCCTTTGAGAGTCATTCATATTCTTTTGAATGGCAGTGATCCATTATTTTTCATTGCTATATAGTATTCCATTCAAGTTTTGATTTGGGTTGTTTGCAGTTTTGGTCTCCTGTGAATAAAACTACTATAACAATTTTTAAACTGAGTTTACTGTCATAATGATGACACCAAGCCAATTGGGGTTTCCCTACTGGAATTATCTAATAACTCATAATTATTTCCTTAACTTTGTAGCTTAATGTTTAATTTCCTTAGCTTTGTAGCTAAATGTCTAATTTTCTCAATGTTTCTCACTTTCTCTTAGGCTGGACAAACTGCATGCATTTTGCCTACACAGAAAAAGATTACTTCTCTTCCAAATAACCTTGCTCAACCTACAAAAGCTTGCCGTTTTATTCATCAGTGAGAGGCAGTTAGTCAAGATTCTAGCTGCCATTTGTGACTCATCCACACCTGTGAAGTGAGTAGATAAGTAACATTACAATATAAATAAATTCAGACATCAAGGAAGGCAAATCGTGATTATTCCTCTAATAGAAAGTGACTCAAGGGTGCGTAGGAACATCTGGGACATTGATGTTCATTTCATGTGACTGTTAGAAGAGTGCTTCTATTCTGAGAATGTGACCCTGGTGTGGTGAAGTTTTCTGTGGAGCCTTTTGAAATTTATAGTCAGTGACGTGGAATGTCCATCCAGGAGGAGTCTGACAAATGCTGTGCCAGTCGAGGTTCAGCACCGTAGGTGTAGCGCAGGCGAAATACGGTGCTGGAGCTTTGAGTACAAGCTGAAACACCGCACACCACCTCCTCTCTCTACCATTCAGAACACTCTTTACAAAACTAAAAAACTGCCCCCCAAAAAAAAGAAAAATATAAATGCAAACATAATAAAATAAAAGGAATATTTCCCAGCTTCTGGAAAGAAAGCCAAGCCAATGATCTCTCTTATAGGTGACATGGGATAGAGGATCCCATTCCAGATTCCCCCAGGTGCTCCATGAAACAGCACAGACTCTGGTTTTCCATCATCTCAGTTCCGGGGCCTTAAGGCCTCCCCCTTACCTCTCCTCTGAGTTCCTGTGGAATCCACACTCCAGAGGTGGCCGCCCCACAGCCTGGGGCCTCCCCAGGGAGCTCTCATTTGGGACTGCCCCAGCTCTGATGTGTCAGGAGAGGCATTTGCCTTTAGCCACCTGTTCATTTGGGGGAATTCTCCTATAGGCTCCCTGTGTTCCCAGTTCTACATTCAAATCATTCTGGGTCTTTTGGTCCTTGTGATAAAACATGAAACAGCAGAAATAAACGTTTAACTATTAAAACAAAGAGACCAATTAATTATTGTTGTGGAAGTATGTGATGCTATATTAAAAACTATTTTGGAAATACAACTTATTTTACCTTCATTGCTACACTGTTCACTGGTCCGCTGTCTTCCACGGGCCACCACAAATGTCCCCTCCAGGAATATTCCATGGACCAGAGGCCCATTTGGGGTAAAGGATGGCGAAACTCTTCCAACATCACTCCCAGGGCCCTTTTATTCTGGAGGGCAGAGGCAGGCCTGGCAGGACAAAGCAAGATGGTGAAGATTCCAGAACTTTTGTGTAGATAATTTAAGTTTTTTCAAATAATATAACTTTAAAGCTCAGACATCCAAGAGAATTAGCTAATGAAAACCTCTATCCAGCAATAAGTTTGGTAAAGTGACTAGAAACAAGTTTGCACAAAAAATAAGAACTTGCATACCTGTATCGATAAAATCTTTATTTTTTTTTTTTATTTTTTGCAACAGAGTCTCGCTGTGTACCCCAGGCTGCAGTGCAGTGGTGCAATCAAGGCTCACTGCAACCTCTGCCTCCCGGGTTGAAGTGATTCTCCCTGCCTCAGCCTCCCGAGTAGCTGGGATTACAGGTGCTCGCCAGCACGCCCTGCTAATTTTTGTATTTTTAGTAGAGACAGGGTTTCACCATGTTGGCCAGGCTGGTCTCAAACTCCTGACCTCATGATCTGCCTGCCTCAGCCTCCCAAAGTGCTGGGATTACAGGCGTGAGCCACCACGCCGGGCCTAAAATCTTAATTAAAAGATATAATGGAAACATAGACAACATAAATAATATTGCCAAAAAATACAAACATAGGATTGGTAATCATGAAGACTATATTAGACTAACACGAGAGAATGAAAAGTAAATGAAGCTTTGAATAATAGAGTAGGCATTCTGTATCTTTGATGGAAAAACTAAACATGGCAAAGATTGAATTTTTTTTTTTTTTGAGACATAGTCTTGCTCTGTCACCCAGGCTGGAGTGCAGTGGTGTGATCTCTGCTCACTGTAACCTCTGCCTCATGGGCTCAAGCAGTTATCCTGCCTCAACCTCCCAAGTAGCTGGGATCACAGGCATGCGCCAACAAGCCTGGTTAATTTTTTGTATTTTTAGTAGAGTCGGGGTTTCACCATGTTTGGCAGGCTGGTCTTAAACTTCTGACCTCAGGTGATCTGCCCACCTCAGCCTCCCAAAGTGATGGGATTACAGGTATGCACCACCGTGCCAGGCCAGATTGAATTTCTTTAAAAAATAATGTGTAATTTAATTTTGATTCCAATAATAATTTCAACTGGACTTTGTTTTTGTTTTTTTACTACTTAAAAAATTGACTTGAAAATATCCTACCAGGTAAACAGCAAGCATAAATTGCACAGATAAGTTTGGAGGAAAAGGTTCCTGTGATTAAAATGTTATTGTTAAAATAGTATGATAAGGAACAAGGATAGATAGATAATTTATTAAAACAAGATAGAGAGTTTTAAAACAGACTAGGTAGGATATTTGATAAAAGAAGCTTCATGTATCAATGAGGGGAGAAACGTATTATTCAGTGCAGCATTTCAGATATTGGCCTTTTAGAAAAAAATAAAAATAATTTCTCACTGAGTCAGGCATATCAATAGTATTCAATATTCTCATCTTCAAAATGAAAGGGTTAAGAGATCTCCAAGGATTTCTTATTCTGTTAGTCTCTGAACTAAAAATTGTAAGAAGTAAGAGTTATGAATAGAGTAGGAGGAGAAAAATCAGTCAGAAGAGAGAAAAAAGCTGAAGTTCCAGCAAATGCGCACATACACACACACACACAGAAACCCTGCAGGTGAAAGTGGATTTATCCATGCAGAAAGGGATGGAAAAAGCCAAATGAAATGGGCATTCAATGTGCTTGCCAAATGCCAAATTAGGGTAACATGTGGTTTATAAACAGTAAACTCGAGCATTCAGCTTCCTTTTCTTTTCTTCTTGGTCCAATCTCTTTAGTTCTTTAAAGTCTCACCTTATGTTGCTACCTCGGTATAGAAAATGAGGGGTGGAGGAGAAAGATTGGACATAATTCAGATACTTTCAGTATGTTTTTGGTGGGTATAAATTTAAAATGCTTATTTTGTTGCACATCAAGCTGCTATTTAAGGCTTAAGGACAAAAAAAGTCAAAATACTGAAAGTTGAAGAAATGGTGTTCAATTTCCCTGGAATCGGGGGCTCAAACATTTCATCTTTGAGAATCTAGTTATTCACTCTGAATGAAAAAATTTTGGTGCAGTTGAAATCACTTTATGCAGTGAAATGCAAATTATGGGTGAACAAATTATAGCCTGCTGCTTTTGCCTGGTTTTGGACTATACCTAGCATCATGCATAATTTGTAGAAAAGTGTCTGCATAGAGAAACCAGGGAAAACCATTTAGCCATGTGCAAATCAGTTTACCCAGAGGAAGGCAATGAAAAGGAGAACACTGTTATCTCCTCACCAGCTTAATGCTGTTCCTGATGAAAATCGCCTGAGGTCACACAAGAAACGTGGTGTAGTAATTATGTGCACTCAAATAGCTTCCCATTGGAAAGAAATAATCCACACTGGTAACTGAATCAAGCAAAACAGGCATAAAATTAAGCAGATTCATTTTATTTCAACTGTAAATTTCAGCAACAGGGGAAGAAAGTGGATACTAGAATAAGTTAGAAGCAGCAGTTGGTGGTTCTGAAGCATCAGGTAATTCGACTCAGGGTGACTATTGTCTCCATTTTTAATTTTTAATTTTTATGGGTAAATAGTCCATATGTTTACGGGGTACATGTGATGATTTGATACAGGCACACTATTAAGGTAATTGGGGTAGTAATTATCTCAACCATTAATCATTTCTTTGTGGCAGGAATATTCCAATTCTACTCTTTTAGTTATTTAAAAATATACACTAAATTATTGTTGACTATAGTCACCCTATTGCGCTATCACATACCAGATATTTTTAATTCTATCTCATTATGTTTTCCTACCCATTAACCAGCCCTACTTTTCCCTCTACTCCCTGTTACCCTTCTCAGCCTCTGGTAACCATCATTCTACTGTATATCTCCATGAGTTCAATTGCTTTAATTTTTAGCACCCACATATGGGTGAGACATTGCAAAATTTGTCTTTCTGTGCCTAGCTTATTTCACTTAACTTAATGCCCTCCAGTTCCATCCATGCTGTTGCAAATGACAGGATTTCATGTTTTTATGGATGAATAATATTCCCTTCTGTATATGCACCACATCTTAAAAAATTCATTTGTCTGTAGTTAGACAAGTAGGTTGATTCCAAATCTTGACTATTGTGAACAGTGCTTCAATAAACGTGGGAGTGCAGATATCTCTTCAATATACTGATTCTTTTCTTTGGGGTATATACCTAAAGGTGGGATCATATGCTGGTTCTATTTGTAGTTTTTTGAGAAAATTCCATACTTTTCTCCATAGTGGCTGTACTAATTTACATTCCCACCAATAGTGTATGAGGGTTCCTCTTTCTCCACATCCTCACAAGCACTTTTTATTGTCTATCTTTTGGATAAGAGCCATTTTAACTAGGGTTAGATGATATCTCATATTTTATTTGCATTTTTCTGATGATTAATAATGTTGAACATTTTTCATATACCTGTTGGCCATTTGTATGTCTTATTTTGAGAAATTTCTCTTCAGATCTTTGGCCTATTTTAAAATTGGATTATTAGATTTTTTTCCTATTGACTTGTTTGAGCTCCTTATATATTCTGGTTATCAAACTCTTGTCAGATGGATAGTTTGCAAATATTTTCTCCCATTCTGTGGATTGTCTCTTCACTTTGTTATTTCCTTGGCTGTGCAGAAGCCTTTTAACTTGATATAATCCCATTTGTTCATTTTTGCATTGGTTGCCTGTGCTTTTCAGGTATTATCAAGAATTCTTTGCCCAGACCAATGTTCTAGAGAGTTTCCCCAATTTTCTTAGAAGTTTTATAGTTTCAGGTCTCACATTTAAGTTTTTAATTCATTTTGATTTAATTTTTGTATATGGTGAGAGATAAGGGTCTCGTTTCATTCTTCTGCATATGGATATCCCATTTTCCAAGCACCATGTATTAAAGAAACTATTTCCCCAATGTATGTTCTTGACATCATTGTAAAAAATGAGTTCACTGGCTGGGCGTGGTGGCTCACTCCTGCAATCCCAGCACTTTGGGAGGCCGAGGCAGGCGGATCATGAGGTCAGGAGATTGAGACCATCCTGGCTAACATGGTGAAACCCCATCTCTACTAAAAATACAAAAATATTAGCCAGGCAGGGTGGTGGAGCCTGTAGTCCCAGCTACATGGGAGGCTGAGGCAGGAGAATGGTGGGAACCCAGGAGGCAGAGCTTGCAGTGAGCTGAAATCACGCCACTGCACTCCAGCCTGGGCAACAGAGCGAGACTCCGTCTCAAAAAAAAAATGAGTTCACTGTGGATGTATGGGTTAATTTCTGATTCTCTATTCTGTTCCATTGGTCTATATGTCTTTCTTTTAGGCCAGTATCATGCTGTTTTGGTTACTATAGCTCTGTAGTATAATTTGAAGTCAGGTAATTTGATTCCTCCAGTTTTCTTCTTTTTGTTCAGGATGGCTTTGTCTATTCTGGGTCTTTTGTGATTCCATGCAAATATTAGAATCATTTTTTTCTATTTCTGTGAAGAATGTTGTTGGTATTTTGATAGGGATTACATTGAATCTGTAGATTGCTTTGGGCAGTATGGATTAAATTGCTTTGGGCAGTATGGATTAAATCCATTTGGGCAGCAGCAAATGGATTAAAATGAAAAAAGAAAAGCCTGGAACCTGATGATAGCTTTACTGCTGAATTTTGCCAGACATTTAAAGAAGAACTAATACCAATCCTACTCAAACTATTCCAAAAAATTGAAGAGGAGGGAATACTTCCAAACACATTCTACAAGGCCAGTATTACCTTTATGCCAAAGCCAGACAAACACACAACAGAAAAAGAAAACTACAGGCCAATATCTCTGATTAATGTTGATGCAAAAATCCTCAACAAAATACTAGTAAATCAAATTCAACAACGAATTTAAAAAATCATTTAATATGACCAAATGAAATTTATTCCAGGAATGTAAGGATGGTTCACCATATGCAAATCAATCAGTGTGATACAACATATCAACAGAATGATACATCATATCAACAAAAACCATATGATAATTTCAAATAATTCTGAAAAAACATTCAATAAAAATCTACAACCTTCATGATAAAAAAACTCCCAAAAAGATTGGTAAAGAAGGAATGTATGTAAACATAATAAAGCCATATACAACAGTCTTACCATATGGGCAGTATGGATGTAACAATATTGATTCTTCCAACCCATAAACATAAAATATCTTTCCATTTCTTTGTGTACTCCTCAATTTCCTTCATCAGTATTTTACAGTTTTTATTATAGAGATCTTTTACTTCTTTGGTTAAGTTTATTTCTATGTATTTTATTTGTAGCAATTATAAATTGGGTTACATTCTTGATTTCTTTTTCAGATTGTTTGCTGTTGGCATATAGAAATGCTACTGTTTTTTGTATACTGATTTTGTATCCTGCAACTTTGCTGAATTTGTCAATCAGCTCTAATAATTTTTTGGTGGAGTCCTTAGGTTTTTCTAAATTATAAGATTATATCATCTGCGAACAAGAATAATTTGACTTTTCCTGTCCCAATCTGGATGCCATTTATTTCTTTCTCTTGTCTAATTGTTCTGTCTAGGACTTCCAGTGCTATGATGAATAATAGAAGTGAAAGTGGGCATCCTTATGTTCTTCTAGATCTTAGAGGAAAAGCTTTCAGTTTTTTCCCATTCAGAATGTTACTAGCTGTAAGACTGTTGTATATGGCTTTATTATGTTTACATACATTCCTTCCTTACCAATCTTTTTGGGAGTTTTTTTTTTATCATGAAGGGTGTAGATTTTTATTGAATTTTTTTCAGAATTATTTGAAATTATCATATGGTTTTTGTTGATATGATGTATCATTCTGTTGATATGTTGTATCACACTGATTGATTTGCATATGGTGAACCATCCTTACATTCCTGGAATAAATTTCATTTGGTCATATTAAATGATTTTTTAAATTCGTTGTTGAATTTGATTTACTAGTATTTTGTTGAGGATTTTTGCATCAACATTAATCAGAGATATTGGCCTGTAGTTTTCTTTTTCTGTTGTGTGTTTGTCTGGCTTTGGCATAAAGGTAATACTGGCCTTGTAGAATGTGATTGGAAGTATTCCCTCCTCTTCAATTTTTTGGAATAGTTTGAGTAGGATTGGTATCAGTTCTTCTTTAAATGTCTGGCAAAATTCAGCAGTAAAGCTATCATCAGGTTCCAGGCTTTTCTTTTTTCATTTTAATCCATTTGCTGCTGCCAGAAAATTTAATTTCATTTTTAGTTAGTAGGCCACTGACTAGTTTAGTGCGTAGACTTCATGTTTCCATGGTTCTTTAGTTTGTTTAATTGTCTCAAAGTGGTAACCAATAAAAGTTTCCAAATTTAAAACCTTTCATTTGTAAATGGATTTCTATGAAACTTGTAAGTACAAAATCTCAGAAAGATACAATTAAATTATACTACATGATATCTACATGTCACAGAATCATGATCAGAAGTTTTCACTCCTGCTCCCAAATAAAATGTTGGCCTGACAGATATTTTCAAGTAAAATACTTGGCTATTCTTGAATCTGTAAGAACATGAGTCTTTTAAATTACAGCATCTGAACAAAAAATTCAGGGAAAAAGAAATAAATAGGCCCTTGACTATGGCCTGCCAGAATCCAGTTTGGAGATAAAAAGGGCTTAATTTGGAGGCACAGATAACATTGTACTATTAATTTCCTAGACTACTTGCCTAACTTTGATTTGTCTCATCCAAGAAATGACTGAGAAGGGAAAGTGTATAGTATTATCTAGTCTTTTGTTTAACTTTTACCTGTTTCTTCATGGAATTAAATGATAAAAGAGAAACAAAAATAGGTTCTTAAATTAAGCATCAAGACTAAAGATAGATATTTAAGACACATTTTAATGATTAATTGTGAAATCACCCTTCAAAAGATGGAAAAGAAATTTTGAAACAATTCTTGGCTTGGTCAGGAAGACAATTAGTGTCTTCAGTTAAAACTATGATAATAGTGTTGTCACCAAAATGGTGGAATAGGGAGCCCTAGGCCTTGTTCCCCAATAGAGACAGCAACTTAACAACAATATATGGAACAAATTACCTTTTTTGGAACTCCAGAAACAACTTATGTTGCAGCACCCCAGGTAAATCCAAAGCCAAGAAGAGCTGTATTGAAGTGGATAAGAAAGTGTATTATATTTACTTGTGATACCCCCTTCAACTAGTGTGCACAGCACAGTATGCTCAAGAGAGAATTTGGAATATCAGAAACATAAAGTGGGAGGCAAGACATAAAAGAAGTAGAGTTTTTGCATGTGATTGAAGTTGTTACCAGTTTAAAATATATTGTTGAAACTTTAAGATGTTTTATGTGATCCCCATGGTAACCACAAAGAGAACAGCTTGTGAATGTACACAAAAGAAAATGTGATCCTTTCAGTAACCACAAAGAAAATAGCTAATGAAAATACACAAAAGAAAATGAAAAAGAAATCAAGGCATATACTACCAAAAAGAAAATCAATGAAACAAAAAGGAAGGATGCCAGAGAGAAAGAGGTACAAAATAGCTACAAGGCATACAAAAACACAATGAATAAAATGTCAATAGCAGTTCTTCCATATTAGTAATATCTTTCATGTAAATAGACTAGTTTCCCCAATAAAAAGACAGGTTGGCTGAATGGATTAAAAAATTCTACTATATGCTGTGTACAAGAGACTCACTTTAAATCTAAGGAGACATATAAGGTGAAAGTAAAAGAATAGAAAAGATACTCCCTGCAAATTGTAACAAAAAGAGAGTATACAAAAACAGAGTATAGGTGGCTACATCTATACCAGAAAAAAAATAGTCATTAAGTAAAAAATATCACAAGGTACAAAGAACAATATATAATAACCTGGTCCATTTACCAGGAAAATATAATAATTATAAATATATACACACCTAACGTCAGTGTTCTCAAATATGTGAAGCAGACATTGACAGGATTCAAGGGAGAAATAAACAGCATACAATAATAGTAGGATTCAATACTCCACTTTCAATAATGGGTAGAACAGCCAGCAGAAGATCAATAATGGGACAGAGGACATGAATAACATCATAGACCAAATGGACCAAATACACATCCATACAACATTTCACCCAACAATGGCAGAATACACATTCTTCTCAAGCACAGTTGGAACATTCTGCGAGAAAGACCACATACTAGACCACTAAACAAGTCTTAACAGTTTTAAGCAGATTGAAATAATATCAAGTATTTTTCCCAGTACAATAGAATGAAACTAGAAATCAATAGCAGAAGAAAAACTGGAAAATTCATGAATATGCAGAATTTAATCAACACGCTCTTAAATAACCAATGAATCAAAGAAGGAATCACAAGGAAAATTGCAAAATAATTTGTAAAAAAGAAACAAAAATACAACACACTAAAACTTACAGAAGCAGCAAAAGCAATACTAAGAGAGAATTTTATAGTGGAATATGCCATAAAAAAAAGAAAGGCCTCTTGGCAGGGCGCGGTGTCTCATGCCTGTAATCCCAGCACTTTGGGAGGCTGAGGTGGGCGGATCACAAGTTCAGGAGATTGAGACCATCCTGGCTAACACGACGAAACCCCGTCTCTACTAAAAACACAAAATATTAGCCTGGCATGGTGGCGGGTGCCTGGAGTTCCCGCTACAGGAGGCTGAGGCAGGAGTATGGTGTGAACCCGGGAGGCAGAGCTTGCAGTGAGCTGAGATGGCACCACTGCACTCCAGCCTGGGCAACAGAGTGAGACTCCGTCTCAAAAAAAAGAAAAGAAAGGTCTCAAATCAACAAGTTAATTTTATACACAAAGGAACCAGTAAAAGAGAACAAACTAAATCCAAAGTTAGCAGAAGGAAGAATATAAAGATTAGAGTAAGAATAAATGGAATAAAGAATAACTTTTATAAAAGTTAGATTTAAAAAATAACAACAAAATTGAAAATCCTTTAGCTATATTAAGAAAAAGAGAGAATACTCAAATAACTAAAATCAGAAATGAATGCCTCATTCATTTTTTATCAGATATTATAACTGATGCCACAGAAATAGAAAGGATTATAAGGGACTACTAAGAACAATTATAAGCCAACGAGTTAGGCAAACTAGAAGAAATGGGTGAATTCGTGGTAAGATACAACCTACCAAGATGGAATCATGAAGAAATAAAGAAATCTGAACAGATGTGTAACTAGTAAGGAGAATAAATCAGTATTCAAAAATCTCCCAACAAAAAATGGACCAGACCCAAATGATTTCACTGGAGAATCTACCAAACATTTAAAGAAAAATTAATAATTATCCTTAACCTCTTCCAAAAAAATCACAGAGAGAAAACACTTCTAAACTTATTTTATAAGGGCAACATTACCCTGATACCAAACCTAGACAAAGATACAAGAAAACTATAGATTATTACACCTGATGAATATTAATGAAAAATCCTCAACAAAATATTTGCAAACTGAATTTAACAGTACATTCAAAGAACTATATATTGTGACCAGGTTTTATTCCTCCTAATGCAAGGATAGTTCAATATATGAAAATCAGTGTAATACATTGCATTAACAGAATAAAAGACAAAAAGCACACAATCATCTTAATTGATTCAGAAAAAGCATGTGACAAAATTGAACACCCTTTCATGACAAAATTAAGAAACGAAGAGTAGAAAAAAATTACCTCAACATAATAAATGTTATGTGTGGTTTTGAATAAGTATGTATGTATATGTATAGATATACACATAAATGTTATATAAATATAATATGTGTGCACACATACAGGGCTAACACCATACTCAATGATGAAAACCTGAAAACTTTCCCTAAGATCAAGAACAAGGCGGGGCAGTTCCAAGATGGCCGAATAGGAACAGCTCCAGTCTAAGCTCCCAGCGTAAGTGATGGAGAAGATGGGTGATTTCTGCATTTCCAACTGAGGTACTGGCTTCATCTCACTGGGGCTTGTCAGATAGTGGGGGCAGGACAGTGGGTGCAGCCCACTGAGCATGAGCTGAAGCAGGGCAAGGCGTCGCCTCACCTGGGAAGCACAAGGGGTCAGGGAATTCCCTTTCCTAGCCAAGGGAAGCAGTGACAGAAGGCACCTGGAAAATTGGGTCACTCCCACCCTAATACTGCACTTTTCCAGTGGTCTTAGCAAACAGCACACCAGGAGATTATATCCCGTGCATGGCTCGGAGGGTCCCATGCCCACGGAGCCTCACTTATTGCTAGCACAGCAGTCTGAGATTGAACTGCAAGGCGGCAGTGAGGCTGGGGAAGGGGCACCTGCCATTGCTGAGGCTTGAGTAGGTAAACAAAGTGGCCTGGAAGCTCGAACTGGGTGGAGCCCACAACAGCTCAAGGAGGCCTGCCTGCCTCTGTAGACTCCACCTCTGGGGACAGGGCATAGCTGAACAAAAGGCAGCAGAAACCTCTGCAGACTTAAATGTCCCTGTCTGACAGCTTTGAGGAGAGTAGTGGTTCTCCCAGCATGGAGTTTGAGATCTGAGAACAGATAGACTGCCTCCTCAAGTGGGTCCCTGACCCCTGAGTAGCCTAACTGGGAGGCACCATCCAGTAGGGGCAGACTGACACCTTACACGGCCAGGTACCACACTGAGATGAAGCTTCCAGAAGAGCAATCAGGCAGCAAGATTTGCTGTTCAGCAATATTCACTGTTCTGCAGCCTCCGCTGCTGATACCCAGGCAAACAGGGGCTGGAGTGGACCTCCAGCAAACTCCAACAGACCTGCAGCTGAGAGTCCTGCCTGTTAGAAGGAAAACTAACAAACAGAAAGGACATCCACACCAAAACCCCATCTGTACGTCACCATCATCAAAGACCAAAGGTAGATAAAACCACAAAGATGGGGAAAAAACAGGGCAGAAAAGCTGAAAATTCTAAAAATCAGAGTGCCTCTCCCCTTCCAAAGGAATGCAGCTCCTCTCCAGCAATGGAACAAAGCTGGACAGACAATGACTTTGACAAGAGAAGAAAGCTTCAGATGATCAAACTTCTCCAAGCTAAAGGAGGAAGTTTGAACCCATCGCAAAGAAGCTAAAAACCTTGAAAAAAGATTAGACGAATGGCTGACTAGAATAACCAGTGTAGAGAAGACCTTAAAGGACCTGATGGACTGAAAACCGTGGCACAAGAACTACGTGACGAATGCACAAGCTTCAGTAGCCGATTCGATCAGTGGTTGAAGATCAGATGAATGAAATGAAGTGAGAAGAGAAGTTTAGAGAAAAAAGAGTAAAAAGAAACGAACAAAGCCTCCAAGAAATATGGGACTATGTGAAAAGACCAAATCTATGTCTGATTGGTGTACCTGAAAGTGACGGGGAGAAATGGAACCAAGTTGGAAAACACTTTGCAGGATATTATCCAGGAGAACTTTCCCAAGCTAGCAAGGCAGGCCAACATTCAAATTCAGGAAATACAGAGAATGCCACAAAGATACTCCTTGAGAAGAGCAACTCCAAGACACATAACTGTCAGATTCATCAAAGTTGAAATGAAGGAAAAAATGTCAAGGGCAGCCAGAGAGAAAGGTCAGGTTACCCACAAAGGGAAGCCCATCAAACTAACAGAGGATCTCTCGGCAGAAACTCTACAAGCCAGAAGAGAGTGGGGGCCAATATTCAACATTCTTAAAGAAAAGAATTTTCAACCCAGAGTTTCATATCCAGCCAAACTAAGCTTCATAAGAGAAGGAGAAATAAAATCCTTTACAGACCAGCAAATTCTGAGAGATTTTTGTCACTACCAGGCCTGCCCTACAAGAGCTCTTGAAAGAAGCACTAAACATGGAAAGGAAAAACCGGTACAAGTCACTGCAAAAATATGCCAGATTGTAAAGGCCATCGATGCTAGGAAGAAACTGCATCAACTAATGAGCAAACTAACCAGCTAACATCATAATGACAGGATCAAATTCACACATAACAATATTAACGTTAAATGTAAATGGGCTAAACGCTCCAATTAAAAGACACAGACTGGCAAATTGGATAAAGAGTCAAGACCCATCAGTGTGCTGTATTCAGGAGACCCATCTCACGTGCAGAGACACACATAGGCTCAAAATAAAGGGATGGAGGAAGATCTACCAAGAAAATGGAAAACAGAAAAAGGCAGGGATTGTGATCTTAGTCTCTGATAAAACAGACTTTAAACCAACAAAAATCAGAAGAGACAAAGAAGGCCATTACATAATGGTAAAGGGATCAATTCAACAAGAAGAGCTAACTATCCTAAATATATATGCACCCAATAAAAGAACACCCAGATTCATAAAGCAAGTCCTTAGAGACCTACAAAGAGACTTAGACTCCCATGCAATAATAATGGCAGACATTAATACCCCACTGTCAACATTAGACAGATCAATGAGACAGAAAGTTAACAAGGATATCCAGGAATTGAATGCAGCTCTGCACCAAGCAGACTTAATAGACATCTACAGAACTCTCCACCCCAAATCAACAGAATATACATTCTTCTCAGCACCACATCACACTTATTCCAAAACTGACCACATAGTTGGAAGTAAAGCACTCCTCAGCAAATGTAAAAGAACAGAAATTATAACAAACTGTCTCTCAGACCACAGTGCAATCAAACTAGAACTCAGGATTAAGAAACTCAATCAAAACCACTCAACTACATGGAAACTGAAGAACCTGCTCCTGAATGACTACTGGCTACATAATGAAATGAAGGCAGAAATAAACATGTTCTTTGAAACCAGCGAGAACAAAGACACAACATACCAGAATCTCTGGGACACATTTAAAGCAGTGTGGAGAGGGAAATGTATAGCACTAAATGCTCATAAGAGAAAACAGAAAAGATCTAAAATTGACACCCTAACACCACAATTAAAAGAACTACAGAAGCAAGAGCAAACACATTCAAAAGCTAGCAGAAGGCAAGAAATAACTAAGATCAGAGCAGAACTGAAGGAAATAGAGACACAAAAAACCCTTCAAAAATCAATGAATCCAGGAGCTGGTTTTTTGAAATGATCCACAAAATTGATAGACTGCTAGCAAGACTAAAAAAGAAGAAAAGAGAGAAGAATTAGATGCAATAAAAAATGATAAAGGGGATATCACCACTGATCCCACAGAAATACAAACTACCATCAGAGAATACTATAAACACCTCTATGCAAATAAGCTAGAAAATCTAGAAGAAATGGATAAATTCCTGGACACATACACCCTCCCAAGACTAAACCAGGAAGAAGTTGAATCCCTGAATAGACCAATAACAGGCTCTGAAATTGAGGCAATAATTAATAGCCTACCAACCAAAAGATGTCCAGGACCAGATGGATTCACAGCCGAATTCTACCAGAGGTACAAGGAGGAGCTGGTACCATTCCTTCTGAAACTATTCCAATCAACAGAAAAAGAGGGAATCCTTCCTAACTCATTTTATGAGGCCAGCATCTTCCTGATACCAAAGCCTGGCAGAGACACAACAACAACAAAAAAGAGCATTTTAGACCAATATCCCTGATGAACATTGATGCAAAAATCTTCAATAAAATACTGGCAAACTGAACCCAGCAGCACATCAAAAAGCTTATCCACCATGATCAAGTGGGCTTCATCCCTGGGATGCAAGGCTAGTTCAACATACACGAATTAATAAACGTAATCCAGCATATAAACAGAACCAAAGACAAAAAACCACATGATTATCTCAATAGATGCAGAAACGGCCTTCGACAAAATTCAACAGCCCTTCATGCTAAAAACTCTCAATAAATTAGGTATTGATGGGATGTATCTCAAAATAGTAAGAGCTATCTATGACAAACCCACAGCCAATATCATACTGAATGGGCAAAAACTGGAAGCATTCCCTTTGAAAACTGGCACAAGACAGGGATGCCCTCTCTCACTGCTCCTATTCAACACAGTGCTGGAAGTTCTGGCCAGGGCAATAAGGCAGGAGAAAGAAATAAAGGGTATTCAATTAGGAAAAGAGGAAGTCAAATTGTCCCTGTTTGCAGATGACATGATTGTATATTTAGAAAACCCCATCATCTCAGCCAAAAATCTCCTTAAGCTGATAAGCAACTTCAGCAAAGTCTCAGGATACAAAATCAATGAGCAAAAATCACAAGCATTCTTACACACCAATAACAGACAAACAGAGAGCCAAATCATGAGTGAACACCCATTCACAATTGCTTCCAAAGAGAATAAAATACTAGGAATCCAACTTACAAGGGATGTGAAGGACCTCTTCAAGGAGAATTACAAACCACTGCTCAACGAAATAAAAGAGGACACAAACAAATGGAAGAACATTCCATGCTCATGGATAGGAAGAATCAATATCATGAAAATGGCCATACTGCCCAAGGTAATTTATAGATTCAATGTCATCCCCATCAAGCTACCAATGACTTTCTTCACAGAATTCGAAAAAACTACTTTAAAGTTCATAGGAACCAAAAAAGGGCCCACATTGCCAAGACAATCCTAAGCCAAAAGAACAAAGCTGGAGGCATCACGCTACCTGACTTCAAACTATACTACAAGGCTATAGTAACCAAAACAGCATGGTACTGTTACCGAAACAGAGATACAGACCAGTGGAACAGAACAGAGCCCTCAGAAATAATACCACACATCTACAACCATCTGATCTTTGACAAACCTGACAAAAACAAGAAATGGGGAAAGGATTCCCTATTTAACAAATGGTGCTGGGAAAACCGGCTAGCCATATGTAGAAAGCTGAAACTGGGTCCCTTCCTTACACCTTATACAAAAATTAATTCAAGATGTATTAAAGACTTAAATGTTGGACCTAAAAACATAAAAACCCTAGAAGAAAACCTAGGCAATACCATTCAGGACATAGGCATGGGCAAGGACTTCATGTCTAAAACACCAAAAGCAATGGCAACAAAAGCCAAAATTGACAAATAGGATCTAATTAAACTAAAGAGCTTGGGCACAGCAAAAGAAACTACCATCAGAGTGAACAGGCAACCTACAGAATGGGAGAAAATTTTTGCAATCTACTCATCTGACAAAGGGCTAATATCCAGAATCTACAAAGAACTCAAACAAATTTACAAGAAAAAAACAAACAACCCCATCAAAAAGTGGGCAAAGGATATGAACAGACACTTCTCAAAAGAAGACATTTATGCAGCCAACAGACACATGAAAAAATGCTCATCATCACTGGCCATCAGAGAAATGCAAATCAAAACCACAATGAGATACCATCGCACACCAGTTACAATGGCGATCATTAAAAAGTCAGGAAACAACAGGTGCTTGAGAGGATGTGGAGAAATAGGAATGCTTTTACACTGTGGGTGGGACTGTAAACTAGATCAACCATTGTGGAAGACAGTGTGGCAATTCCTCAAGGATCTATAACTAGAAATACCATTTGACCCAGCCATCCCATTACTGGGTATATACCCAAAAGATTATAAATCACACTCCTATAAAGACACATGCACATGTATGTTTATTGCAGCACTATTCACAATGGCAAAGACTTGGAACCAACCAAAATGTCAATCAATGATAGACTGGATTAAGAAAATGTGGCACATATACACCATGGAATACTATGCAGCCATAAAAAAGGATGAGTTCATGTCCTTTGTAGGGACATGGATGAAGCTGGAAACCATCATTCTGAGCAAACTATCGCAAGGATAAAAAACCAAACACTGCATGTTCTCACTCATAGGTGGGAATTGAACAATCAGGACACTTGGACACAGGAAGGGGAACATCACACACTGGGGCCTGTTGTTGGGTGAGGGGAGGGATAGCATTAGGAGATAAACCTAATGTAAATGATGAGTTAATGTGTGCAGCACACCAACATGGCACATGTATACATATGTATCAAATTTGCACATTGTGCACATGTACTCTAGAACTTAAAAGTATAATAATAATAAAAAAAAAAGAAAAAGAACAAGGCAAGAATGTCCATACTGACCACTTCTTTTTTTTTTTTTTTTTTTTGAGACGGAGTCTCGCTCTGTTCCCCAGGCTGGGGTGCAGGGGCACGATCTCGGCTCACTGCAAGCTCCGCCTCCCGGGTTCAGCCATTCTTCTGCCTCAGCCTCCTGAGTAGCTGGGACTACAGGCGCCCGCCACCATGCCCGGCTAATTTTTTTTTTTTTTTGTATTTTTTTAGTAGAGACGGGGTTTCACCGTGTTAGCCAGGATGGTCTCGATCTCCTGACCTCGTGATCCTCCTGCCTTGGCCTCCCAAAGTGCTGGGATTACAGGCGTGAACCACCACGCCTGGCCCATACTGACCACTTCTATTCAACATAGTAGTGACAGTCTTAGCCTGGGAAATTAGATATGAGAAAGAAATAACAGCTATCCAAAATGGAAAGCAAGAAGTAAAATGATCTCTGTTTACAGATGACATAATCTTATTGTAGAAAGCACTAAAAACTGTTAGAACTAATAAATTCAACAAAATTTTATAATCCAAAGTGAACAAAAAGTAATTGCATATTTATACACTAACAGTCAGTAATCCAAAAACGCATTTAAGAAAACAATCCCATCAAGAACTTATAAAAGCATAAACAATAGTAACAAGAAGAATAAGATACTTTGGAATAAACTTAACCAAGGATGGGAAAACCTTGCACACTGAAAACTACGAAACAGGCTGGGTGCAGTGGCTCACACCTGTAATCCCAGCACTTTGGGAGGCCAAGGTGGGTGGATTGCTTGAGTCCAGGAGTTCAAGACCAAGTTGGGCAACATGGCGAAACCCCCTCTCTACTAAAAATACAAAAAATAGCCAGGCATGGTGGCACGTGCCTGTAGTCCCAGTTACTTGAGAGGCTGAGGTGGGAGAATCACCTGAGCTCAGGAGGTCGAGGCTGCAGTGAGCCGAGATCATGCCACTGCACTCCAGCCTGGGCAAACAGAGTGAGACCCTGTCTCAACAAAACAAAACAAAACACAGCAAAACACAAAAAACCTACAAGACATTGCTGAAAGAAATTAAAGAGACATAAATAAATAGAAAGACATCCTGTACTCATGAATTGAAAGACTTAGTGTTAAGATATCCATGTACCCAAAGTGATTTACTGATTCAATGCAATTCTTAACAAAATGCAAATGACTTTTTTGCAGAAATGGAATAAAACCATTCTATAATTTACATAGAATCTCAAGGGACCCTGCATAGCCAAAACAATCTTAAAAAAGAAGAATGAAGTTAGAGTGCTCACACTTTTGATTTTAAGAATATTTTGAAGCTACAGTAATTAAAGACAGTGTAACACTGGCATAAAGACACATATACAGACCAATGAAACAGAACAGGAAGTTCAGAATTAAACTCTCACATACATGATCTTCAACAAGGGTACCAAGACAAAACAATGGGGAAAGGACAGTCTCTTCAATAATTGATGTTGTAAACACTAGATATCCACATGCAAAAGAATGAAGTTGAAACTTAACCTTACATCATATATAAAAATTAACTTAAAATTGATTAAAGACCTAGACATGAGACCTACAACTGTAAAATGACTAGGAGAAAAGTGTAAGAAAAGCTTCATGACACTGAATTTGGTAATGATTTCTTGAATATGATACCAAAAGAATAGGAAACAAAAGAAAAAGGTAGACAAATAGGACTACATCAAACTTAAAAATTTTTGCACATCAAAGAAACAGTGACAAAGCAACCTGTGAAATGAGAGAAAATATTTGCAAATTATATCTAAAAGGGGTTAATATCCAGAATACTTGTCTATAGAGAACCACTACAAGTCAACAACAAAAGACAATCTGTTAAAAAAATGGGCCAAGAACTTGAATAGACATTCCTCCCAAGAAGAAGTATAAACATTAAAAAAATGTTCAGTGCCTTTAATCAAATTAAAACTACAATGAGCAATCGCCTACCCATCAGGATGGTCACTACAAAAAAAGACCAAGCAAAACATATTGGAAGGATGAGAAGAAACTGGAACCCTTTTACACTGTTGGTAGGAATGAAAAAATGGTGCAGCTGCTATGGAAAAATGATCTGAGGTTCCCCAAATAATTAAAAATAGAACTACTATATGATCCAGGAATCTCACTTCTGGGTATGTATGCAAAAGAACTAAAATAATTATGTCAAAGAGTTATCTGCATACCCATGTTAACTGCAGCATTATTCACAAAAGTCAAGAGTTGGAAGCAACCCAAATGTCTATTAAAAGATGAATAAAGAAAATGTGGAATATACATACAATGGAATACTATTTGACCTTAACAAAGAAGAAAATTCTGTCACATGCTACAACATGAATGAACCTTGAGGATATTGTACTAAGTGAAATAAGCCAATCACAAAAAGACAAGTATTGTATGATTACATTTATAGGAGGTTTCAAAAATAGACAAACTCATAGAAACAGAAACTACAATGGTGATTGCCAGAGACTGGGGACATGGAGAAATGGGGAGACGTTGTTTAACTGGTTTAGTTTCAGGTTTGCAAGATTAAAAAGTTCTGGAGATTTGTTACACAACACTGTGCATACAGTGAACGCTACTGAACTGTGCACTTAAAAAGTGGTTGAAATGGTAAATTTCTTATGTGTTTTAAAATATATATATATTTTTTAATTTTTAATTTTTTTTAAATTTTTTTGAGACAGAGTCTCACTCTGTTGCCTGGGCTGGAGTGCAGTGGCGTGATCTCGGCTCACTGCAAGCTCTGCCTCCTGGGTTCACGCCATTCTCCTGCCTCAGCCTCCTGAGCAGCTGGGACTACAGGTGCCCGCCACCAGGCCCAGCTAATTTTTTTGTAGTTTTTAGTAGAGATGGGGTTTTTCACCGTGTTAGCCAGGCTGGTCTCGAACTCCCGACCTCAGGTGATCCGCCCACCTCGGCCTCCCAAAGTGCTGGGATTACCGCGTGAGCCACCACGCCTGGCCTGTATGTGTTTTTAAAATCACAATGAGAAATTAAAAAATAAAATGAAAATAAGAAATGCTTAGCATATAAGAAAGTGAAGCATCGAAGCCCACGAAGATACAGCGAGTTTGCTTACTCCCAGCTTGTCTGGCACTGTCCAGATCTTACTGCCGATAGCCCTGCACCCTGAGTATAACCTCAGTCCCAGGCACACCAGGTGTTTGGATATTCTATATGAAAACCAGAGCATTTAAAGAAATGGTGTAAACAGAATAAAGGTATTTTGTTGAAAGTAAAGTATAATGCTATCCTTACTTGGTAATCCCATTGCCTTTAAAGTGAAGCATATTACTGGGATGTAAACCTGTATTTTTCTCTCTTGGCTCTTTAACAGATTCTCCAGATCTGTCTTATTTATATTTCCTTCAAAATACTTCTGTGATTTCTATCTTTTCTTGTTTCCAAGCCACACTTCAGCTTCATTCCTTATGCACAGGAGAGCCTGTTCTTGGTTTCTTTTCTTCCAGGTTCTGATTTTTAATCTGCCCAAATTGTAACTGGGACATTTATTGACAAAAAGAAATTTGAACATGTAACAGCCTTTTTTTTCCTTCTAATTTTTAAGTGGTTTCTAATTAGGTAATTTCCTGAAGATTAAAGTTCTTAAAGTCTCTGATTTATTAGTTCATCATTCTTAATTTTTTCAGTTTTCTATCATTGTCTAGTAGAGTATGTCCAGTTGATAGGATATCTGAGGACATATTATCTCTCCATCAATTTATTTCTGTATTACACACACTTTCTCTCCATTCTCTTCTTCAGACCTTCTGCACCACCTCCCCTCAACAGTTGTAACAAATAAAAATGTCTCCAGACATTGCTGAATGTCCCGAGGCGGCAAAATTTCCCCTGGTTGAGCACAGCTGATAGAAATAATGCCCAAATTTCAAGATTTTTTCCAAAGTGGTCTTCATATTCAATTCCCAAACGTGTACTTAACATTGTTCTTTCTGAAAAGAGTACTTTCCCCATTTTCTCTACCTGGAGAGAACTCCAGGAAGCTGAGACCGGCCAGACCACAGAGCTTGACCCAGGTTCCACACATTTTTCATGTGCAAATTGGGAAGCACGATGAGATATCTCTCTTGCCTGTCATTATGATTTTTTTTTAAGTGAAAAATAGGCTGGGCGCCGTGGCTCACACCTGTAATCCCAGCACTTTGGGAGGCCGAGGCGGGCGGATCACGAGATAAGGAGATGAGACCATCCTGGCTAACACGGTGAAACCCCGTCTCTACTACAAAATACAAAAAATTAGCCGGGCGTGGTGGCGGCCGCCTGTAGTCCCAGCTACTCGGGAGGCTGAGGCAGGAGAATGGCGTGAACCCAGGAGGCGGAGCTTGCAGTGAGCCGAGATCGCGCCACTGCACTACAGCCTGGGCGGCAGAGCCAGACTCCATCTCAAGAAAAAAAAAAAGTGAAAAATAAAAATCCTGGTTTCTGGGGAATCAATCACTCATATAGTGCTGTTGTTAACATAAATATCCAAATCTTCACAGAGGAACAGAGGACAATATGACAATAAGCACTACATTTTCAAGTGTCTTTTATACCCATTGAAAATTTGGTAGAAATTAGATATCTAGGAATTTCCCCTAACAGAGTAAATATACAGACCGTGTGCGGTGGCTCACGCCTGTAATCCCAGCACTTTGGGAGACCAAGGCGGGTAGGTCACGAGGTCAGGAGATCAAGACCATCCTGGCTAACATGGTGAAACCCCGTCTCTACTAAAAATGCAAAAACAAAATTAGACGGGCGTGGTGGTGGGCGCCTGTAGTCCCAGCTACTCAGGAGGCTGAGGCAGGAGAATGGCGTGAACTCGGGAGGCAGAGCTTGCAGTGAGCCGAGATCGCGCCATTGCACTCCAGCCTGGGCGACAGAGCAAGACTACGACTCAAAAAAAAAAAAAAAGAAACAAAAGATGTCAAGTCCTTAGTCATTATAAAAATGATGTTTAATCATTTTCTTGGATTTTGCAGATGAATTGGTGAATAGCTTTGTGACAGACCTTTGTTCAAGATCCATTCAAGGATAGAAGACAATTGCATTGAATGGTTGAATAGGGAGATTTCTCAGGAGAATGTTGCTGGGTGCGGTTGAATATTTACTCTCCCACATCCTTGCCTGGCAGGAGGGCCTGTAAGGAGGCTATTCTATGAGCTTGTATCATCTCCCTGGATTCTAGGAGCAAATTAAGAAGCAAATGTTGGACCTCTGCCTGTGAAAACCACAGGTCCAAGACACTGAGAGGAACCAGGAACCACGGCAAGAAGAGAGGAAAGTGGTGTGGGTGCCTACACTTTCATCATTTGCATGACAAGGGGGTCCCATGAGTCAAGTACAGTCTAGGAGGTAATTGAGGTGGAGCTGTGCAGAAGGGACCCTGACCAAGAGTTGAGGGGCACCAGCGGAGAGGCTGTGGGTTGCACCTCCAGGGGCGGATGCTGGAAGTGGTGCCTGAAAGGAGTCAGCAGGGAGAGCCACATTGCTTGTATCTTGAGACATAACTGGGTGTGCAAAATGGGAAATCACTGTGGATCTCTCAGTAGGAATCTTTCAGGGATAGAGCCGGTTGTGAACATTCTGTAACATCAGATTAAATAGGGCCTTTTCTGTTCTTCATCTCTCTTTCATGCCTTTCTTCCCCCAGATAGACATACTCAGTGAGCTTTCTTCCCAGTTTGAAGCAGGTCTGAGGTGGAGAAGTAGAGAAAATCAAAGTTTTGACTATTGCATGGAAGTGGACATCCTAATTATTGAAATAATACTGTTGTGGCCAGGGCTGATGTTTAGCTGAGATGTACTGGTGTGGTTGCACTGGTTATTAAAATATTAAAATACTTTAATATTGGTTGGTAAACAGTTCTGATCCTAGGCCCCTTGAGGGCCTCCCCTTGGCCCTGGAAACCCTGTGGGCACTGCTATTCCTTCTTCCCACCCCCTCCACACACTTCCTATCCCTGAGACCAGTGTCCCCGGCGGTGAGGCTGACGCTCCAGTGGGCTGTACCCAATGTCTCTGGTTTTGCAGCCGGGCTTCCTGGGATTGTCCTCATGTGATCCTTATGGGAACAGCAACTTCCTCAATTGTCACCTCTTTTAAATGTCACCCAAGATCTGTTATGAACTGGCTCAAGTTTTATGCAAAAGAGTCTCCCAAAATCGGCCTCAAAAGCACTTTTGTTAGGACATTTTTGAGAAAAAAATATATGATGCTTTATGATTTTATTCTACTTTTTCAATGTCACATTTACAAATGTTTATAATTAAGTTAAAAGGGTGAGGCAGAAAACCAGGCAACTCTGTACTGATTTTTGTAATATAATCTGTCTCAAAATATACCATTAGAAGTTTAAATATTTAAATAGTTATAACCATTTCTAGGGGATGGTAACATGGCTAACTTTTAGACTTTTATTTATTAGTTTTTTTTTTTTAGACGGAATCTCGCTCTGTTGCCCAGGCTGGAGTGCAGTGGTGTGACCTCAGCTCACTGCAAGCTCTGCCTCCCAGGTTTACGCCATTCTCCTGCCTCAGCCTCCCAAGTAGTTGGGACTACAGGTGCCTGCCACCACACCCATCTAATTTTGTTTTTGTATTTTTAGTAGAGACGGGGTTTCACTGTGTTAGCCAGGATGGTATCGATCTCCTGACCTCGTGATCCACCCGCCTCGGCCTCCCAAAGTGCTGGGATTACAGGTGTGAGCCACCACACCTGGCCCTGGCCAGTATTTCTTAAGTTTCATTAAAAAAAAAAAAAAAAAAAAAAAAAAAAAATATATATATATATATATATATATATATATATATATATATAGTACTCTTTTGACTATTACTATTTTGAATGAGAGGAATAAAATAATACATGCAACTAAATGGGATTTTGTATTTTTCCTTCACATACATTGACCTACGTTTAAAATGTAAGCCTCTCACCCTCCTGACAACTCCATATCCCCACCCCCTGCTCTATGTGGTCAGAGTTGGTGCATCCCAATGCCTTGAATAGGGTCTGACACATTTGCTGTTGGAATCACTTGAATCATTTCACTTAGCAGGAACATAGTAAAGTATAAATGATGCTGAGGTATATCTCCCCAAGGAGGAGGACACAGAACAGGTTCTCTGTGGGGACAGGAGGAGGGACTGGCCCTGTGTACCCACTGCCTCCCCACGGCTTCCTCAACTTTTGCTTGATTTTTCCTCAATCAGGAACATGACATCACATTCATCCAGACCTTGAACCTACCTTATTAGGTTTATTCCTAGGTATTTTCTTGTTTTTCTGACATGCAAATATAATCTTTTTCCTTATTTCAATTTTCTGGTTGATTATTTCCATCATAAAGGAAAGTTGCTCTGTAAAATTTACCTGTTTCTAGCCACGCGATAAAATTTTCTTATTAGTTTCAATGGTGACTGTATACACACACACACACACACACACACACACACACATACTTTAAGTTCTGAGATACATATGCAGAACGTGCAGGTTTGTTACATAGGTGTACACGTGCTATGGTGGTTTGCTGCACCCATCACCCCATCATCAACATTAGGTATTTCTCCTAATGCTATCCTTCCCCTAGGCCCCCACCCCCACCGACAGGCCCTAGTGTGTGATGTTGCCCTCCCTGTGTCCATGTGTTCTCATTGTTCAACTCCCACTTAATGACTGAGAACATGGGGTGTTTCATTTTCTGTTCCTGGGTAAGTTTGCTGAGAATGATGGTTTCTAGCTTCATCCATGTCCCTGAAAAGGATGTGAACTCATCCTTTTTTATGACTGCATAGTATTCCATGGTGTATATGTACCACATTTTCTTTATCCAGTCTGTCACTGATGGGCATTTGGGTTGGTTCCAAGTCTTTGCTATTGTGAACAGTGCTGCAATAAACATACATTTCCATGTGTCTTTATAGTAGAATGATTTATAATCCTTTGGGTTATATACCCAGTAATGGTATTGCTGGGTCAAATGGTATTTCTGGTTCTAGATCCTTGAGGAATCGCTACACTGTCTTCCACAATGGTTGAACTAATTCACACTTCTACCCACAGTGTAAAAGCATCCCTATTTCTCCACATCCTCTCCAGCATCTGTGGTTTCCTGACTTTTTAATGATTGCCATTCTAGCTGGCAATCTCTTTGTGGTTTTGGTATCTCATTGTGGTTTTGATTTGCATTTCTCTAATGACCAGTGATGATGAGCTTTTTTTCATATGTTTTTTGGCCACATAAATGTCTTCTTTTGAGAAGTGTCTGTTCATATCCTTTGCCCACTTTTTGATGGATGGGGTTTTTTATTTTTACTTGTAAATTTCTTTAAGTTCCTTGTAGATTCTGGATATTAGCCCTTTGTCAGAAGGATAGATTGCAAAAATTTTCTCCCATTCTGTAGGTTGCCTGTTCAGTCTGATGACAGTTTCCTTTGCTATGCAGAAGCTCTTTAGTTTAATTAAATCTCATTTGTCAATTTTGGCTTTTGTTGCCATTGCTTTTGGTGTTTTAGTCATGAAGTCTTTGCTCATGCCTATGTTGTGAATGGTATTGCCTAGGTTTTCTTCTAGGGTTTTTAGGGTTTTTATGGTTTTAGGTCTAACATTTAAGTCTTTAATCCATCTTGAGTTAATTTTTGTATAAGGTGTAAGGAAGGGATCCAGTTTCAGTTTTTTTGCATATGGCTAGCCAGTTTTCCCAACACCATTTATTAAATAGGGAATCCTTTCCCCATTGCTTGTTTTTGTCAGGTTTGTCAAAAATCAGATGGTTGTAGATGTGTGGCATTATTTCTGAGGCTTCTGTTCTGTTCCATTGGTCTATATATCTGTTTTGGTACCAGTAAATGGTTACTTTTTTTAAAAAGCAAACTCTTTCGAATTTTGTATGTTTATAATACAGCAAATAATTTTGTCTTGCTTTTAGAAAAAAATTGAGGTAAAATTCACGTAACATAAAGTTAACCATTTTACAGTGAACAATTCGGTGACACTGAGCATATTTACAATGTTATAGAAGTACCACCTCTGTTTAGTTTCAAAATATTTTCATCACTGCAAAATAAAACCATGTAAGCAGTCAAATCCCACCTGTCCTCTCCTCCTGTCTCTGTCAACCACCGATCTGTTTTATGGGTTTACCTATCCTGGATATTTCATATAAATGAAATTATACAATAACCCTGTATAATTTTTTGTGGGCCTGACTTCTTTCATTTAGCATAATGTTTTTGAGGTTCATTCATGTTATAGCATTTATCAGTACTCCACTTCTTTTTATGGCTGCATAATATTCCACTATATGTGTATATCATAATTTGTTTATACATTCCTCTGTTGACGGACATCTGGGTTGTTTCCAACTTTTGGCTGTTTTGAATAGAGCTCTTTTGAACATGTATGTACATGTATTTGTTTGAGAACTCGTTTTCATTTCTTTGGGGTATATACCTAGGAGTGAAATTGCTGAGTCATATAGTAATTCTATGTTCAACTTTTTGACCACTGCCAAACTGTTTTCCGCAAACATCATCATCACTAGCCATGTATGATTTACTCCACATCTTCACCAACACTTGGTGTTTAATATTTTTTTTTTAATTATAGCCATCCTGGTAGTGAAGTGGTATCTCATCGTGGTTTTGATTTGTATTTCTCTAATAACTAATAATATTGAACATCTTTTCATGTGCTTGTTGGCCATTTGTAGATCTTCTTTGGAGAAATACATATATAAACTCTTTGACCATTTGATTTTAATTGAGTTGTTTGTCTTTCTATTGTTGAGTAGTTAAAGTTCTTTATATAGACACATCATTTAGAGATTTGCAATTTTTTTCTCCCATTCTGTAGGCTATTTTTAAACTTTCCTAATAATATCATTTGGTGTACAAAAGTTTTAAATTTTGATGGAGCCCAATTTATATATTTCTTAATTTGTTGTTCATGCTTTTGGGGTCATGTCTAAGAACATGTATGTACCTAATCTGTATCTGAGAACCTAATCTCAGATTCAAGATCAGGAAGATTTAACCATAGGTTTTCTTCTAAGAGTTTTGTAGATTTAGCTCTTGCATTTAGGTCTTTGATACATTTTGAGTTAGTTTTTCTATATGGTATGAAATAAGGGTTCAACTTCATTCTTTTGCACGTGGCTATTTGGTTGTCTAAGCACTATTTGTTGAAGAGACTATTCTTTCCCCATTGAATGGTCTTTGCACCCCGTCAAAAATTAATCACCACAAATGAATGGGCTTATTTCTGGAATCACAATTCTATTTTCTCATCTATATGTTTATCCATAAGGATAAACAGTGCCACACTGTTTTGATTATTGTTAACTTTGTAATAAGTTTTGAAATTAGAAAGCGTGAGTCCTCCAACTTTACTCTTCTTTTTCAATAATACTGTCTTAGCTGTTCGAGATCTTTTGCAATTCCTTACATATTTGATAATTAGCTTTTCAATTTCTGCAAAAAGGCTATTCAAATTTTGACATAGATTGTATTGAAACTAGATCTGTTTAAGTATTGCCATTGTGGCAATATAAGTCTTCCAATCCATGAACACAAGGCATATTTCCATTTATTTAGGTATTCTTTAATTTCTTTCAGCAATGGTTTGTAGTTTTCATTGTGTAATACTTTCACTTCCTTGATAATATTTAATTTGAGGTTTTTAAAATCATTTTTATGCTATTATAAATGGAATTGTCTTAATTTAGTTTTTAAATTATTCACTGCACCTTTCTAAGAACACATGTGATTTTTGTGTTCAGCTGTACCTTTGCTGAATTTGTTTATTAGCTGTAGTAGTGGATTCTTTGGGATTTTCTATATCTAGGTTTATCAGTGAATAGAGATCTTTTGATGCTTCTTATTTATTTTTCATTTCTGATTTCTCTGGCTAAAACTTCCAGTACAATGTTAAATGAAAGTGGTAAAAGGGGTCCTCCTTGTTTTGTTCCTGACCTTAGGGGAAAGTTTTAGTCTTTAACCAGTGAATATGATTTTGACTATGGGTTTTTCATAAATGCCCTTATTTTATGTTAAGGAATTCCCCTTCAATTTCTAATTTTATATGAGGATTTTTTTTTTCTTTTGAGACGAAGTCTAGCTTTGTCGCCCAGGTTGGAGTACAGTGACTCGATCTTGGCTTACTGCAACCTCCGCGTCTCGGGTTCAAGTGATTCTTCTGCCTCAGCCTCCTGAGTAGCTGGGACTACAGGCACCTGCCACCAAGCCCAGCTCATTTTTTTTTTTTTTTTTTTTTTTTTTTAGTACAGACGGGGTTTCACCATGTTGACCAGCCTGGTCTCAAACTCCTGACCTCATGATCCACCCACCTCCGGCTCCCAAAGTGCTGGGATTACAGATGTGAGCCACCATGCCCGGCCTGAGGATTTTTATCATGAAAGTGTGGCACATTTTGTTGAATGCATTTTCTGCAGTTGAGATGATCCTGAATTTCTCCTTGCCCCCACACACCTTTATCCTATTAATGTCATATAATACATTGGGTTTCTAATGTTGGACCATCCTTGCTTTCCTGGGCTGAATTCCACTTAGATATGGTATAAAATCCTTTTAATATGCTGATGGATTTTATTTGCTAGCATTTTATTGTGGATTTTTGCATCTTTATTCATAAGGGTTATTGGTCTGTAGCTTTCTTTTCTTGGAATATCTTTCCCTGGTTTTCATATCAGGGTAATGCTGTCCTTATAGAATAAATTAGAAAGTGTTCCCTCCTTTTCAATTTTTTGGAAAAGCTTGAGAAGGATAGATATTAATTGTTTTTTAATTTGTATTTTTATTTCAATAGTTTTGGAGGTACGGGTAGTTTTTGCTTACATGGATAAGTTCTTTGGTGGTAATTTCTGAGATTTTGGTGTACCTGTCACCTGAGCAGTGTACACTGTACCCAACATGTAGTCTTTTATCACTTATGCCTCTCCCACTCTTCCCCTGAGTCCCCAAAGTCCATTATATCATTCTTATGTATTTGCATCCTCATATCTTAGCTCCCACTTATAAGGGAGAACATATGATATTTGGTTTTCCATTCTTGAGTTACTTCACTTAAAATAATGGCCCCCAACTCCACCCAAGTTGCTGCAAAAGACATTATTTTATTTCTTTTTATGTCTGAGTTGTATTCCATGGTGTATATATACTACATTTTCTTTATTCACTCATTGGTTGATGGGCACTTAGGTTGATTCCATATCTTTGCAACTGCAAATTGTGCTGCTATCAACATGCATGTGTGTGCATGTATCTTTTTTCATATAGTGACTTATTTCCCTTTGG